>NC_000003.12:104311634-104614664 GCF_000001405.40 Homo sapiens | reverse complement strand
AGAAGATAGAGGGTATTCAGCAGGATGACAGTCTGATATGGGCCAAGTCAGCAGGAGAGAGTTGACTCAAGTTCGGTTGGCACAAATAACTCAATTTTCCCTATTTTCTGGACAACCAAAGCACACATTTTAGCACTACCTTATACCAGTTCATGGTATAATAAGGTCCCTTTGTTCATGTGAAACCAGGTCAGATTGCTGGCATAATTGACTCCCATAAAATGTCTTATACTAATAAACCACAATTAGTTTCCATTTTATACTTCCTAGCGTCTGGCTTCTTTAGGAGTACACATCTGCAGAATTTGACAGTACCTTCTTTTTGCCCAGAAAAGGTCGCATGACTTTTCATTTGTCTCACAGATTGTGGGACTAAAAATGGGGCAAAGAGAGAATTTATGATAGGCTTCTAATATCAGTTAAGAAAAATGATAGGGTTCTGGTGTCAGTTAAGAAAAAATTAGCCACAACTTAAAAAAATAGAAACTCAAAGAATTTTAGTGAAGTAAACAATCAAAGACATCAACAAGCCAGGGAATATAAAACATGTGTGATCATCAGAATTACCCAGGATATATAAAAATAAAGATATCAGGACCCATCTAGAGATTTTTCTTTGGGTGGGGCTTGAATGGGGGCCAAGTGATTCTGATAATTTTCTTAAACCTCTCTATCCCCTGCTATCTCACTACCACTTTGTGATACACTGACTTAGACTAGCCTTCTCTAAAGACTAAGTAATCTTTTCTTAAAAATCAAACAAAAAAACAAAAACCACTTTTTAAATATCACACTCAAATGGTCTCTTAAAAAGATAATTCTGAATAAAGAAAAGTTAATCGATGAATTCCTATAAGACTTTGATCCTAGTCCTGTCTCAGCCAATGACTAGCTGTATGACTTGCTTTAACACATATTTTAACTCAGAGTTCTCTCTAGTAAAATAGTAATAGGAATTCCATAAAATCAATGTAGGGATAAGATGAGATAAAGAGGATTAAAATATTTTGAAAATAATAAAGCACAATATATATTTTAGATATTTATTAGTAGTAGCAGTATAAAATAACATTTACTAAGCTTGAAGGATAAGATTCATATTACTTGTGTTGTGAGATATTAAAAAAATGATTTTAGGAATCTTGATTTAGGGCAGTGCAGAAATCAAATTTATATGAAACAAAAGATGAAACACACAGCACATATCTGGCTAACCAGAGTTGGTACATAAATATTATGTGATTGCTTATTAATTCAAAAATATGTATATTAAGCTCCTATTTTGTGCCAGGCATCTGCTGAAATTACCAATTCTTGACAAAACAAGTTTTGATATTTGCCATTCATTAGTAAAGGAAGAACTGAAAACCTGACTAAAAACTTCTGTTGGACTTAAATACTTTTTAAAGCAGAAATTTCAAATTGCTTAGCATGACATATAAGAAACATAGTAATATGGGTTTTACTTTTTTTCAAATGTCATTTACAGGACACTCTCAAGACATACTGACTTTTGTCTTTAAATTGGATAAGGCATCCCTTCAAGATTTTGATCATTTGCATAAAGACAAGTCATATTGCTGGAAAGAAAATTACTATTAATTTCTCTACAAAGAGATGTCAAACTTTGGTATTAGGTTCTAGGAAAGTAATATGTTTCCTGGAGATGGACTTTAAGTTTGAGGATCCTTCGGGGCAGCTCCTGAACTCTGCTAATCAACTGGGGAAGCAAGTCAAAGCCAGGCCATGCTCACGGCCAACTCAAATGCAAACTTCCCTCTGAAGGTTTTTACCAGGGAGAGCTTGTCTTCCCACAAGCCCGTATTGATATTGCTGTTACAGCAAATATAATATTGTTCAATATTGTCTTTTCACATTTCTCCTCTTTCTTAACCATAAGTTCAAAGGCAGGATCTTATGTAACCATTTCTCTGTCACAAATACTGATGGCTATCCTTAGCACACAATAAGTCCTAAACAAATATGTGAGAAAGAAAGGAAAAAAAGAATGAAAGAAAGGAAAGAAAACAGACTTAGCTCATAGCCAAATACCCACTTGTAACTTACATTATGGATTTTGTAACAGTTAACCAGGTGTTCCAAATGATGAGGCTATGAAAACACAATGTGTTTAGAGATAAACAGACATTTCTTCAGATAATTAAAAAGAAAAAAAAAGGTGAAGTCAAGTGTCACACTATGTTTGAGGTCATCATTGTCAGCTCCTTGGGCAGACAGCCAAAGAGGAACAGGGAATTGGGAGAGGCTCTGTTGGCCTCCAGGTGTGTTTATACCCATTAAAATTATTGCACTGACAGTACACAGGAGAGATAGCCAAACCAGGAGAAGTTTCTAAATCTAGTCCTAGGAATACCTAAGGGAAAGCTGTGGGCACTGATTCTAGGAGATAATAGATGGAAAATGCTAGTAGATGCTTCAAGTTTCCTTATTCAGAACAATGGAAAGTTTGTTTGGAAACCAAGCATCACTGGAGGTTGTCCTTCCACCAGACGGTTTATGTCAAGGAATTTGAGTTGCTGAGATAGTCGGGGCTTTTTCCCAACATGACCACTCTTGTAGCATCATGTTGAGACCAAATTGAAAACGGAGTTGTCTTTAGAAAAGGTTACAATGGAGTTTCTCTCTTGCAATTCATATTCCATTGTTATCTTCAAAACAACTTCAGTCCAGAGGTCACTGCTGGTCAGCTGGTGGCTGTGCTGGTGGCTGTTCAACTATTGTAAAAAAGTAAAGATTTATTATCTTTAGTAATACATATTACTACTAGCAAAAACTTGCTGCTACTACATAGATATATGCAGCAAATTAAATACATTGGAGGGTCATGCAATATTTGTTTCTTAAACAAATATGTATTAACAACGTATTTTGTCTCAGGCATTATTCTATGACTTTAGTGTATAGCTGTGAACCAGACAGAAGTAGTACCTATCTTTATGAGGCTTACATACTCATGGCATAGACAGACCATAAATAAATAATTGTAAGAAAATAAGACAGGCTATCTTCACAGCAAATGACATACTAGGCAACTTTTGATAGCATAGTCATTCAGAGTAGCTCTGAAAGAAGAGTAAAAAGGAATATTTGAACTGAGACCTGAATAATAAGAAGGTGTTACATATGCAATGACCTGCATGATCCGCAAAGAGGGAACATCAAGTACAAAGTTCCTGAGGCAGGAACAAGTTGTACCTGTTGAGATGACAGGACCTGAGGCAGGAACAAGTTCTACCTGTTGAGGAAGGTGGAGAAAGGTGCAATGGAAGAGGACAAAATAGGGACTTTCTAGATAGATATAAAAATGTGGAATATTTTTATGTAATAAGGAGGTTTTGGAAAATTTTAAGCAAAGTAATGGTATAAAAAAATTTATGTCAGTGAATTTCACTTTGCCTGCAAGAATAAATGAAAAGAAAATGAAAATTAATTGTTGCTAACAGGGAACAGAGAATGTTTCCTGGTGGAAGGATTTTGAATTACATTTTAAAGAAAGTGTAAGGGTTCAGAAGATGAATAAAAAGGAGAAAAGGCCCTTCAACTTTGAAGATACCTTAAATCAAAGCAACAAATTATGCAGGTGCATAGATGTGTAATATGAGTGGGATGTATATATCAGAAGTGGCCACAAAAAAACGTGGGCTTAGGTAATATAAAACTACTTACAAATATTTTGTCCTTGCAATGTACCAGGTATTGGGCATACCTATTTACCTTGACTGACTGCCAATCCACCGTGTTTTCTGAGTATGTTTATCCTTCATTTCTTAAGTATTTTATCTCTCTTCAAGCCTCAGACTTTTAACACATTGTTTCCCCTCTCACTCATAACTGCTTCTTATACTATTAAGAAAATAGAAGCAATCAGAAGTAAAATTAATTTTGCTTCTTCCACGAGATCTACTAATGTCCTTCCACTTACCTGTCCATGTTCTATCTTTAAAATTTTTTTTTTAAGCTCAGGGGTACACATGCAGATTTGTTATATAGGTAAAATCATGTCATGAGGGTTCGTTTTACAGATGATTTCATCACCCAGGTGGTAAGCCTGGTACTTGTTAGTTATTTTTTCTGCTCTTCTAGATCTTCCCATCATCCACCCTCAGGTAGGTCCTAGTGTCTATTTTTCCCTTCTATGTGTCGATATGCTCTCATCGTTTAGCTCCCACTTATAACTGAGAACATGCAGTATTTGGTTTTCTGTTTCTACATTAGTTTGCTAGGGACAATGGCTGTCCAAGTTCATGCAAAGGACATAATCTCATCCTTTTTTATGGCTGCATAGTGTTGCATGGTGTATTTGTATCAGATATTCTTTATCCAGTCTACCGTTGATGGGCATTTGGATTGATTCCATTCACTATTGTGAATAATGCTGCAGTGAACATACACGTGCATGTGTCTTTATGATAGAATGATACATTGCTTTGGGTATACACAGTAATGGGATTGCTGAGTCAAATGGTATTTCTGTTTTTAGGTCTTTGAGGAATTGCCACACTGTCTTCCATAATTGTTGAACTAATTTACACTATCGCCAACAATGTATAAGCATTCCTTTCTCTCCACAACGTTGCCAGCATCTATTATTTTTTGACTTTTTAATAGTAACCATTCTGACTGGTGTGAGATGGTATCTCACTGTGGTTTTGATTTGCATTTCTCCAGTGATCAGTGATGTTGAGCCTTTTTTATATGCTTGTTGGAAGTAGATGTCTTCCTTTGAAAAGTGTCTATTCATGTCCTTTGCCTATGTTTTAATGGGGTCTTTTTGTTTTAAATTTATGTTCCTTATAGATGCTGGATATTACACCTTTTTCAGATGCATAGTTGAAAAAATTTTCTCCCATTCTGCACTGTTGATAGTTTATTTTGCTGTGCAAAACTCTTTAGTTTAATTAGATCTCGTTTGATAATTTTTGCTTTTGCTGCAATTGTTTTTGAAATCTGCATCATAAAATCTTTGTCCATTCCTGTCTAGAATTGTATTGCCTAGGTTTTCTTTCAGAGTTTTTATAGTTTGGGATTTTACATTTCAGTCTTCAATCTATCTTGAGTTGATTTTTGCATATGCTGTAAGGAAGAAGTTTAGTTTTAATCCTCTGCATATGGCTAGCCAGTTATCTCAGCCCCATTTATTGAATAGAAAATCCTTGCCTCATTGCTTATTTTTGTCAGGATTGTTGAAGATTTGATAGTTGTAGGTGTGCAGACTTATTTCTGGGCTGTATATTCTGTTCCATTGGTTTAGGTGTCTGTTTTCATATCATTACCATGCTGTTTTGGTTACTGTAGCCCTGTAGTATTCTTTGAAGTTGGGTAACATGATGCCTCCAGTCTTGTTCTTTTAGGTTAGTATTGCCTTAGCTATTTGGGCTCTTTTTTAGTTCCATATGAATTTTAAAATAGTTTTCTTCTAGTTCTGTGAAGAATGTCATGGTAGTTTGATAGGAATATCATTGAATCTATAAATCGTTTTGGGCAGTATGGTCATTTTAACAATCTTGATTCTACCTATCCATGAGCATGGAGTGTTTTTCTGTTTGTTTGTGTCATCTCTGATTTCTTTGAGCGGTGTTTTGTCATTCTCATTGTAAAGAGCTTTTCCCTCCCTGATTAGCTGTTTTCCTAGGTATTTTATTCTTTTTATGGCAGTTGTGAATGGGACTGCATTTCTGATTTGGCTCTTGCCTTTTATCTTGTTGGTATATAGGAATGCTAGTGATTTTCATACATTGATTTCTTATCCTGAGATCTTGCTGAAGGGATTTATCAACTTAAGGAGCCTTTGGGCTGAGGCTGTGGGTTTTTCTAGGTATAGGATCATGTCTTCTGCAAACAAGAATAGTTTGACTTCCTCTCTTCCTATTTGGATGCCCTTTATTACTTTCTCTTGCCTAACTGCTGTGTCCGGGACTTCCAATACTATGTTGAATAGGAGTGATGAGAGAGGGCATCCTTGTCTTATACTGGTTTTCAAGGAGAATGCTTCCAGCTTTGGCCCAGTCAGCATGATGTTGGCTGTGTGTTTGTCATAGATGGCTCTTATTATTTTGAGGTATGTTCCTTCAATACCTAGTTTACTGAGATTCCTTATCATGAAAGGGTGTTGCATTTTAGACAGAGCCTTTTCTGCATCTATTGAGAATATCATGTGGTTATTTCTTTATTACTGTTTATGTAATGAATCACATTTATTGATTTTAATATGTTGAACCAACCTTGCATCCCAGGAGTGGATAAGCTTTTTGTTGTGCTCCTGGATTCTGTTTGCAAATATTTTATTGAGGATTTTTGCATCTATGTTCATAAAAGATATTGGCCTGAAGTTTTATTTTTTTGTTGGGTCTCTGCCAAGTTTTGATATCAGGATGATGCTGTCCTCATAGAATGAGTTAAGGAGGAGTTTCTCCTCCTCAATTTTTTGGAATAGTTTCAGTAGAAATGGTACTAGCTCTTTTTTGTACTTCTTCTAGAATTCGGTTGTGAATCCATCTGGTCCTGAGCTTTTTAAAAAATTTGATTTGTTACTGATTCAATTCCAGAACCCATTATTGGTCTGTTAAGGAATTCAATTTCTTCCTGGTGCAGTCTTGGGAGGGTGTATGTGTCTAGGAATTTATCCATTTCCTCTAGATTTTCTAGTTTGTGTGCATAGAGGTGTTCATAACATATTCTGATGGTTATTCATGTTTCTGTGTGGTCAGTGTCTGTTCTCACATTGCTATAAATACCTGAGATGGGTAATTTATAATGAAAAGAAGTTTAATTGGCTCAAAGATCCATAAGCTATTCAGGAAGCATGATGCTGGCATCTGCTTGGCTTCTCGGGAGGCCTCAGGAAACTTCATAATCATGGTGGAAGAGAAAGAGGGAGCGAGGTATCTCACATGGTGGGAGCAATAATGAGAGGGGGAGGAGCCGAGAATGGTGACATACACTTTTAAATTGCCAGATTTCATGAGAACTCACTAACCATTGCAAGGACAGTACCAAGGAGATGGTGGTAAACCATTCATGAGAAATATGCCCCTATGATGCAATCACCTCCTACCAGGCCTTACCTTCCTGATTAGGGATTACAATTTGACATGAGATTTGGTGGGGACATAGATCCCCACCATTATTTGTGATATTTCGTAGCATTATTTGTGATAGATAAAAAGTGGTAACAATGCAAATGTCTATCAAATAATGAAAGGATAAATAAAATGTAGTATATCCACACAATGAAATATAACCTTAAAACATTTTAAGTGATAGAAGCTAGAAACATACAGTTTGCTGTATCAGTGGCCATGTTCTAATCTAATGCCAACTTTTCCACTTGTGCCCTAGATTTCATCCTCTTTTATTTTTCAAGAGCTTGCTCCAGTAATTATTTATTGTCTTAATTCATTATCAATGATTGCTTCTATATTATATCATTTTCTTCATTATCAACCCATGGAGTAAGCTATTTAATTAAACAACAAACAAACAAAAATGACCTGGACCTCTGAACTCCTAGGTTATACTCCATTTTTCTGCCTTTCTTTGCAGCAAAGAGTAAGGAAGTTCTCTCAGATCCCTATGGTTCTATTTGTTCTTGAAACCACATCAATCAGATTTTTATCACCACTCTTTTGAAACCACCCGCAGTCACACATGATCTCTCTGTGGCAAAGAAAGCTCACAATCAATTCTCTCACTCAGCCTTTCAATAACATTTAACACAGTCAGTAACTCTTTCTTCAAAGCTTTTTGTTCAATTGGCTTCTAAGACTGCACTCTCACCTAGTTTCCCTCCAGGCTCGTTGGTTACTGCTTTTAACTCTCTCAAGTTGAGGTCTCATGGTTTCCTAAACTTTTGGAATGTTATAAGACTCAGTCCTTGTATCTCTTTTGATTTATCTACACTCACTCCCTAGGTAATATTATTTTTACTCATGACTTGAATGCCATATATATGCTAATAGATCTCAAACTTACATATCAAGCACCTACCCTATTCTAAAATTCATCTGGCCTTCTCACCACTTTAGAAATCCTACACACCTCTCATCATTTCTCCTAGTTTTGAAATCAGCTATCACAAACATAATATTTCCACCTCAAAACTGACTCCAATCCTACCCCATCACCAGGATTTCACATATAAGAAAATTATCATACTCTTTACATGTTACTTTCCTGATTGTACTAATATGTTATTTGCCTTAATCATACTGTTTCTTAGCTGTATAGTGGAGTTCTCCAGCATTTATATGGAAAACATAACAGCATCACTTTTTAGAGTTAATAGAATTTGTGCTTGTGTATTATTTGTATTTTACAAATATCTGAGTTTTGATTGGAAAATGGAAGCCTGGCATTTCCTCAAATGTTAAACATAGAATTATTATATGATCAGCAATCCAGCTTTCTGATTGCTTTCTATCCCAGCTTTCTATCCAAAATGAATGAAGACATGTGTAAAAACAAAAACATATGCACAAATGTTTATAGCAGCATTATTTGTGATAGATAAAAAGTGGAAACATGGAAATGTCTATCAAATGATGAAAGGATAAATAAAATGTAGTATATCCACACAATGAAATATAACCTTAAAACATTTTAAGTGATAGAAGCTAGTCACAAAAACCACCTATTGTATAACTCAACTTATACAAAATATCCAGATATCCAGAATAGGCAAATTTGTAAAGACAAAAAGTAGATAAGTGGTTTCCTGAGGTTCATAGAGAGATGAGGAACGACTGGAAAAGAATACACATTTATTTTGGAGGTGATGAAAATATTCTAAAATTAAGTGTAATGATTGCACAACTCCGAATATTAAGAAACCATTGACTGTATACCTTAAAAAAAAAAACTTTTAAGTTCAGGGGTGCAAGTGCAAGTTTGTTACATAGGCAAACTTGTGTCATGGGGGTTTATTGTAAAGGAAAACTAACAAATTGGAACTAGGCTTAATACCTGAGTGAGGAAATAATCTGTATACTTTAAGCAGGTGAATTTTATGGTATGTGAATCATATCTCAATGAAGGTTTTTTTTTTTTTTCATTTTTGATTTCTTTCTTTCCTTCCTTCCTTCCTTCCTTTTTTTTTTTTTTTTTTTGATGGAGTCTTGCTCTGTTGCCCAGGTTGGAGTGCGGTGGTGCAATCTCGGCTCACTGCAACCGCTGCCTCCCGGGTTCAAGTGATTCCCCTAACACAGCCTCCCTAGTAGCTGGGATTACAGGTGCACGCCACCATACCTGGCTAATTTTTTTTTTTTTATTTTTAGTAGAGATGGCATTTCACCATGTTGGCCAGGCTGGTTTCGAACTCCTGATCTCAGTTGATCCACCTGCCTCAGCCTCCCGAAGTGCTGGGATTACAGGCATGAGCCACCATGCCCAGCCTTCAGTTTTGATTTCTAAAGCAGTAGATAGATATAACTCATTTAAATAAAAGTTCTTTGAGGTTCTCAATAATTTTTAAGAGTTTAACTATTGAAAGTTTAAGAACCTCTTTCCTAATATGAACAAGAATCTCCTAATTGGTCTTGATGTGTTTATTCTAATTCCCTGATGGTCTACCTTTAATAATGATTAAACAAAGCTATCATTTAAAAAGGTATGTTAGATTATATCATTCTCCTATTTAAAATCCTTTCAACATCTTTTTATTAGTTAAGATAAATCTTATAGCCCTCATCATGGCCTTATTATCTTTATCAATAGTCGTATTCTCCCACACTGTCATTCTTACTGTGTCACAAACGTATCAAGCATGATTTCACATCAAGATCTTAGAATTTATGTTTTCCACACCTAGGTCATCCCAAGATATTTAACTGAGTCACCTCCTTACTTTATTTAGTTAACAGCTCAAATATCACTTCCTCTTACAGTCCTTTCCTGACATGTTTCCCCCTATAGAACCCTTTATTTCTCTGTATCCCCTTTCTCTTTTCTGAACTTCTCTGCTCATGGACAGAGCAGATCATAATTACCAAATAAACTCATAGCTACTCAGCATCCCTTGACCAATGATTGATAAAAGTTGATTGATAAAATTTGATATTAAAAGTATTCCAGCTCCCGTGATCCCAATGTGGTATTGCTCTTGAAACATAATGTTCTTCACTGACACCTAGAGTTCTCTAGAGGGATTAAGCTCTAGCTTTCCACAGTGGTAAACTACACAATAGCACACACTATATTGGTAGATTTCCTTTTGCAGTCTCATTTCCCTAGTTGCTTAAGAGTATTTCCTGTTCACATTAAAATATTTGTTTCTTAGTTATCAGATTTGATAGTGTGTTTATTATATTTATTTATATTTACTACTATATTTCTCCTAAACCACTAAAATGTAAATGCTAAGAAGATAAGGGTCTTGTTTTTCCCATTTTGCTCACAGCGCCTGGTACAATGCCTTGCATAAAATTGGCACCTAGTAAATATTTATTGAATGTAAGAATAAGTGATTTGATTTATTACTTAAAATGATCCTGTGATGTAGGTGCTATTGTTTCATTTCTCTATCACAGATGAGGAAAATAAGATTTCAGAAGGGTAACTAAATTGTCTAGTGTTGCACAGTATGTGGAGAAGTGTCTCTACCCTACCCGTGTGATATCAGAGTTTCATAAAAGTGAAAATTCAGCTTTAAGATCTGAAATAACTGATTAGAACACAACTAGCAACAAGTGACCTTATAGAGAACATCTTAATATTCTTAGATTCCTCCTGATTAAGCTAGGGATTAAGTAAGGTAAATCTTCAGAAATTAAACAAATGTAAAAGTTAAATAAAAAACAATTAGTATATATTCTTATGAAGATCTGAGCTCCTCCCTTCTAAGTTTTGTTTTTTTGTACTTGGCTCACATGCCTCTTATACTCCTAGATGATTGCTGTGGTCACTTTTATCATCAGATAACTTTATGCAACTTATGATTCTCTGATTTACTTATTTAAGGGTCAAATCCACCTTCTGTTGTTTTAAACTACCTCCTTGCTCTGAGCATTAGGTTTTAAACTTCAGAGTAAATCCACGATCTCATAGATCTCTGTCATTCTTCATCTAATATACAGGAGAGCAACCTACAGACTTGCCCAGGAGAATAGCCAGCATTGTCCTCAACAGGTGGCCATTTAATGGAATTACCCAAATGTAGCAGTTGGTGAGCTCTATTTTCTATTCAGTAATCACACACCTACAGTATTCTATGACATCAGAATAGAAAGAACAAAAAAGACAAATTATGGGTGTCTAATGCTTTTTGATTATTGTTTCTTTATTTTCTTCAAATCTTAATAGACAATTCATAAACTCATTTGGCAGATGGAACAAAATTGAAGCATTAGCAGCCTTAAATTATTTTAATTTATTATAATTGTGTCTATTAGTGAGGGAAAAGACAAATGACTTTAACTTCTTTATTGCCTAACTTAAAGAATTTGTGAGTCCTTTAACAAATTATCTTAGAATAGGCCAAAGATATAGATATTCTGTCATAGGTTTTTAAATGATAAATAGGATGAGGACTCATCAAAAAAGTTTAAAACAAAGCAGGGATCTGGTATTCCAGAATATAACAGTAGGAACAAGTAAAAGAGAAAGAAAGAGTGAATCAGATGAAGAGACAGCAGACAAAGTCAGTTATATGACTCAAAAATTTTTGCCTGAGAATCACTATTTTAATATTTATAAACTCTATAGCTTTGCCAAAAGTATTAAAGAAAAGTCTTACTGAAAGAACAGTTTTATAGAAAATTAAAAGCAAGGAAATTTGATATAAAACTTGATTTGATTCTGCTCTACTACAATCTGATGGCTTGAAAAAAATTTCTTCATTGCCAGTGATACAATTTATTCTTTCAAGAATGAAAGGTTCACAAACACCATTTATTGTGTTGACTTCAAGTTCCTAAAGATACAGTCCTCATCTTCATTTATCATTTTATCTCCAGCATCTAGCAAAGTCAGATGATTGAGTTATTATGTACATTTACACAGGATATATATATACACACACACACATAGTGTTATTTATGTTACTTATCCTGACATAGGTAATCTCACAGTTTTATAAGTGTTAAAAATTAGCAACTTACATGGCTGTTAACTTATTTTGTTCAAATTCATACTGCCATGGTGTTATGAATACATGGCAGAAAAAAAAGGGACGAGATCTGATGGCATCCTTTTCCACATGGCTACCAAAAATGACTAGAAATGGCCATGTGGGGTTGGAAGAAATGCTTTGGAGACTCCCCTTATGTGAAAAGGTAATAGGTTTGATTGAAGAAGTCAAGTGTGAGACAAAGGAGATATTTGTTACCTCTCTTCCCCTCACAAAGAGCTTCCCAACTTGAAGGGATTTGGCTCATGCCAGAAATGAAGAATTTCATAGAGAATAAACTGATAGAATAAAAATGTTATCATGGGTTCAGTCCTTTATTTTTTTCACTTCCTTGGAGGAAACACTGGGTAGCATTTCATGATTTTTAACAGTTGTCCTCCTCATTGCTAGGATCATCATGCTGCATATCCTGGCCAACATTCCCAGTTCTGAACTCACCAGAAACTTTTAGTTTGAGGTAAATTCAAGGCAACTAAAGGACAAGAGAACATAAAAGCAGAGTATATGTATCTTAGAGCCTCACCTGGTAATAAATGCACTTTTATATATAACTTTACACATGACAACTAATCCAGGAGAACCAAAATTAGTCTAGAGAAAATGTCCTTTTACTTTTTCCTACCTTCCTTGCTTCTTATAATATTATATTATTATGTATTAACATGAAGAAAATATTGGGAAATATAGAGATGAGCTTTTTTATTCATAAGTTCATTAATTTGCCACCTAGGAACTATATATAAATTCAATTAGAAACTTTTGGATTTAAATATTATTAGTAGTGTTGTTTCTATAGATTTAGAGTTCCAAATTCTCATAACCAAAAATAGCAAGAATAAAGTATTCGTCATAAATCCAGTCTACTAAGGTATTCCTAGACACTCAGCTTCCTGTCTTTGATCAGCAACACTGCAAAGACAGGAACAGGGAAGAGAAGCCTCCTATTTTTTGTCTTTTCTAAAGGAATTATTGTACTGAAATGTCCAGAGTTTAGAGAGTACTATCACATTGTTTTTGGCTTGAGGGTTTTGGCTTGAAATCCTTTCATTAGATGAGACAAATAAGATTTTATTGAGCCCTAGGGAGTTAGCAGGTTCTCTGAGCCAGACAGGAATATCATATGGTAAGATGCTATACATTGCAATTTAGGTACACAAATGAGCACGATTTGACAGGCTTACATATAAAAAGAAAGGTGATATAGGTGATCACAATTATAAAAATAATTTATAGTACCAAGAGTTTTATTTTTCTTAATACCATAAATGGCCCTTGTTATTTAATGTTATATTTTTATATGTTCGGAAAAACAAATGAAAACTTTTTGTTCTTGTGTAACTAGCTAGGACTCATCAATCTTTTAAAATCTTGAAAAAATTATCATTTTGTTGATATCTTTTTGAAGCAGAGTAAAATAATGTACACAGATAATATATAATAATAATTATACTATCCTGTTATTGGTAAATAGAGAACTATGTTTGGCAAGGTTAAGTCATTAGACATGAAATGTTTTTGTATTTTTTTTAATAAGTGCAAGGAAAGAGCAGAAAGGTGTAGAAGTTTCTGATTTTTATTTTATAAATGTGATTGAATATAGAATAGGTGTTAGTGTCCATGGATTTATTTACATCTTTCTTCTTCCACATCTCCCAGCCTCTCCTTTTTCCTCCGGAGCTCTATCTTTCTACATCTCCACATTTCCCCAGTCCAATTATTAAACTTATCGTAAAAATGCACTCAGTTTAACTTTGCCACTAATACTCAGTAGTTACAAAATCATGCTTTAACTAAATGGGTATATTTAATTTCTAGAAGTCATTTCTTAGTGGCCTTGCTATAATCACCCTCTTGTAAATTGACCAGAATTTTTCTTGACAGTTTCAGATGAAGATAGCTACCTTTTCTTTTTGATTTATGTCACTTGGCTTTTACAAAACTATTTCTCTTCAGAAAAGACCTGGTATTGTCTAAAATGACTTCACAGAAATGAAAGGCCCAAACAATGCATAGAAAAGATTTCTGTGCCTGGAAATTAATGAAGGCCTTGTTTCTAATTTGAAGACTACATTGTATCTAAATATCCAACATAAAGGTCATTTACATACCTTGATTTTAAATTGAGGCTAGGTAAAGACGATTAATTTAACAGCAAAAAACAACAGTAATTACACCTTCCCATTCATTTAATATGATACATAATACTAAATCTGACACCATTTAAAAAGTCCTAGGACTTTTCCTTCACTAAAAGAAAGGTGTTATCTAAATGCTTCAGAGTGCTTGGTGGTAATTACTGAGGTTGTTTGGTGGGGAGATAATTGCAGGCCTTGTTAACTGATCCACTCACAACAAGAAAACGGTAGACCAAAATCTTGCTAAATCACTCACCTGCTCAAATTAGAGTATGGCCAAAGGTAGGGACTTGAAGGCAAAAGGCAGGAAACTTGACATGGTGCCACCAGCCACCATCCTGGCAACATATTTTACCGAAGACAAGACACAAAAATGCCTTTCAGTGTCTATGACAGATGAATTCGACTAAAGCTGCTATCCAGTTGAATTTGGAACACTTGTCAGAAGCCAGAGGATTTTTATAAGATGGGATCACCAGAAGAAAAAATGTAGAAAAAAAGGTACTGGATCAACTCTGTCCAGGGGCTATAAGAATAAATCCCATCGGTATTGATCTGTTAGGGGTGGGAAAATGAGCTACATGATACGTTGGACATATGTTCTCTGTTCTCTATGAAACTGTAGTTTCTTTGAGATCATAAGCCAAATGTAGAACTAAAGATTTTACTTACAGAAATGCATTTCTATTGTCCCTTTTATTCTTTATAACTTACAGCATCTCTTCTCCAATGTCTGATCTTGTGCTTTTTTTTTTTTTTTTTTTTTTTTTTTTTTTGGAATGCCACTGGAAAATTTACTGACAAAGATAAGGCTACAACACAAAAAATGCTGCTCAGCAAGAGAGGGAAAAGTTTAAATGTGGTAGGGTGTGTGAGCTTTTAAGCAGTAATCTGTTCGCTTTATTCCATCTTCTTTACTGTTGTTTTTCAGGGTGTGTCCTTTAGGGGAATAATTTTCCCCACTCATGGTTACGTGCGGGAAAAAGATTCTTTGTTTGTTGTTCTGCTCTGTTTGAACTACAGCAATGCATAAAGCAGGTCCCTGCCAAAGCTCTATGAGAAGGTTTGGTGTATATTGGAAACAGGTTGAAAGTGGGTGGGTGTAGGAGGCGGGGGAGGAAGCTGATAGGTAAACTTGTGTGTTTCAGACCCAACAGCAGGTTTTGCGAGTTCTGACATTGGTAATGAGTTTGTTCTCTGAAAGAAATCTGGGCCTCTGTGTGAATAAAATAAACATTTTAAATTGAAACTCATAAAAGAATGAAAGAGTCAAAACACTCTTACTCACTCTCTTTTTCTCTTCGAGGGGTAGATGGAAGACTTTGGTGTCTGACAGGTGCAGCTTATGAGTAACCTGGACAGCAGCCAGAAGTTCTTGTAAGAACAGACCTAGAAGACCACACCTGTTGATTGAAAACAGTGTCTTCCAACACAAAAATATCAAGCCACATAAAATGCCATCCCTATTTTCCCATTTTCTGCATTGGCTGATTGTCATTAAATGAAGGTTAACACTAACTACAGTATGCAATTCCAAATCCTGGAGATCTCCATTGGATAGATAATGTACCAAATTTCATTTGAATAAAATCATAGCCTTCCCTGAAATGGGAAGATTCATTTTTAAATTGTCTTCCTAATGTTGTTGAAGAATGCCTTTGAATGCCATATAATATCCTTTGTAGGGCATTAAGTTAATCTATTTGCTTCCTTAGACATAAATTAGTTTGTGTAACTTTCCACAGCTAAAAGCATTATGAAAGCTCGCTAAAGGTGAAAGTCATGTCATGTGCCTAGAAGGTGAATGAAACAAGTCTCCAGTGTAATCTCTTTAGAAGAAATACACACCATCCAATGAGCAAAGCAAAGAAAGAGGCTGTAGGGAGTAGTTGTCTGGATAAAGAAGAGGAAGCTATCTAATAGGAGGCAGCAGGAAGAGAACAGGGAAAAATCTGTGCCAAGAAGTTTCAGAACAGTCTGCTGACAAGAATACTTACTGATAAACTGTTTAAATTCTGTTTAAACTATTCACCTATAAGTAAACCTCTCCTCTCCGATTTCTGTTCAATTATGTCCATTCTAGTTGTTTTTCTTTCTTTGAATTGCTATAATGACAAAACTCCTTTGTATAAAGGTTAAGATGTAAAAGAACACAATCAAATTGTCTGTCACATCTTTTAAAGTATTGTCATGTGAACTTTGTTCCTTCCCCTAACTTAGGCCAAATATTCTAGGTTTTAGATCTTATATGGGTGACCTGGATGAAAACTCACATTACTCAGGTTGTCGTTGCAGTTTAGCTTTCTCCTAGATACTCTTACGGTCCCGTCAGCCATGTTTGTCCATATCCTGAGTTTATGTTAGTGCTGGACATGAACTCTTAGTGCAACCAATATAGGAGAATTCTGGCTTCCTCACTATGTAAATAAAATGCCTTCCTCTAAAGAATTAATGATGCTGGAACAATGTTTTTGGCCAAGTATGTTATACATATTTTATGTATATAGAAATATATATATGAAAAAATTATAAAGCAATATTAATTACTTTCTCTATATTCATTTCCTCTGTATTCCATATCTAACCCCCAACTTCACATACACCAGGAATAAGATTTCAGAATGAATGAATTTGCCTTAATGTTTCTGATAGAAGGATGATATTAACTTTATTTTCTGCCTCCCCAGTGGGAAAAATAGAATAAGCTATTATTATGTACAAAGCACTGCTAAGGAAGCAGCTAGAGGCAATAAAACTTAGATTATATACCTTCTGTAATTAAATCTTTCTTCTTTTGTTTTCCTGGGCCTGTACCAGATAATTTCTTAGGTCCCATGAGCATATTTTACATATTGTCCTCTACAGTAGCCTTAAGATGAGCAGAGGCAATAAATCAGAAGTGTTTAAACCATGGAGTTATGGTAGTTTCTTAAGAAACATTTGGGAGATGCTGTTTCTATTCAAAAGCTCTTGTTAGAAGTTAATTCATTACTCTTACCAGGCTCCTATATAGCGTTTACTCCAGAATGCACGTGAGTTTCATTGTCTTCTTTGTCTTTAAGCATCTTACCCCCAGCTGGGTGCACATCTTTCCACTCCACCTCAGAACACACACTACATAAATAGCATTTGGGTTCGTTGGTAGTAAAAATCTAGATGCTTTGGGCCCCATGTGGAAGATATGTGTTGATTAGTGACAGGGATGAATGCTAGGTGCGGGTTTGTTTCTGTCTTATGAGCTAGTGTGACTCTATTTACATTCATATGTTCCTGGATTTATGGATATGTGGTAACATTGTTTTCTAAACGGACACATAATGCATTCTCATAAAAAAAGAAGAGCTCAAGAATTAGCAGAAACAAGAAATGCCCCTCTTTTTCTGTTCTTTACTCTGATAGATTAGATAGGGCTGACTTGGAGAGCATTCAAATAAATATTTTAGGGCTAATGATCAAGCTATCACAGATTTTTCAATCAGTTCAAGAAAGAGGGAACAGAATGATTTAAACTTTCCTGGTATAGAAACACAGGCATTTCTATCTGTGTAGGCCAGGCTGTTACACATCAGCATCCTCTCAGCATTTTCTTTGCGATTTAGTGGAGATTAGGCGACCTAACTCCACCTGCTGGATGACTAAGAATTACATTGCTTTGGCTTAAGAAGGTGAGCTGGCATCATGGGGTGGACAGCAACATAAAAGTTGAGAATTTTAAGAAAATTCTTAATTTCCTAAAGACAAAAAGAGCTAATAACACCTCACCTCAGAGGATGTATACAGTTTGAAGGGCATTTTAGCAATATCACAACCTCTCTTTTTGATGACCCAGAGAATTTGTGGTTCTAGGCAAGGTAGCAATGACAGAGACAGAATTGTGTGAGAGTTTGTTTTTACTAATTAATGCCAGCAATACTAAAGCAATATTGGGAACAATTCCAACACAGGTAAAAAAAAATGTTTTAAGCAAGAGTAATAAAAATCATGAGAAAAAAATGTTACCTGTTTCTCATTTCAACGTATTATAATTATTTCCCTGTGACAACACTGTGAACCCTCTGTGCTCACTATGGCAACTCAAATCACAGAAAATCACACCAATACAAACACTCACACACACCCATCCATATACACAGAAAAAGAATGACCCAATCTTTAATTCAGACCCTGAGGCCTCTGCTTATATTTTGCCTGCGAATACTCAGCCTCTTGGTATGTCCAGGGCTCACAAGTGAATATTCAAAAGTAAACAGATTGAACTAGGTATAATTTCACACTTTGGCATCAAGAGTATTGTTTATGTCTTTCACCCTGTCAAAAACCTTAAAGATCCTATATATTAGGTAAGAAAATTGTGAATAGCTAGTGACCAAAGATAAAAAAGGATACTTGTTTAAATGGGATGGTCCTATTTGATAGTAAAAGAATTAAAGGGGAAAATACTTCAATAAAAATGGATTTGATCTTAGGTCCCCAGAACATATGAAAGGAGTCCTGATGGGTTCTTTAATTCAAATCAATTAATATTAGATCCTCTCATGCTCTTATTATTTCTTATTCCTCTTGTATGTCTCTTTGACAATAATTTACCCTTTTTTGCCCTGCTTCTGACCTTTTCAGCTCACCCTTCTGTTAGTGTGTTATTTAATTTCTAATATCTATTTTTGTTAGTGTTTTATTTAATTTCTCATATTTTTTTCTAATGGGCCCCATTTTCTGAGAACAATATAACCTAAGATCATTTTTTTCAGTATAGACATTCAATATTTATTTCCAGCCACTTAAATGAAAGATCAAAATATTTCATATATATATATTTCATATATATGGACATATGTACACACATACATACATGGCAATCATATAGATCATATATATGTGTATATAGGTCATAAAGACATATGATCTGTATGATTTATAGATCATGTCATAAAGACATGTTCTATATGATTGCCATGTATGTGTGTGTATATATGTATGACATATATACACACACATATATGATCTATATTATCACAATATTTTCTACACATACACACATACATATATATGGAGGAAAGAATATATGTATATATGTCTTTACTAAAAAGCAAGAGAGCTATAAATGCTTTCATTATTTACTAATGTACACTCAGGCATTTAAAAATAATTATAAACTCTTTTGATATAATTGGGCATAATAGTTCTCACTTTTGAAAATTGAAATGAAAACTTACAAAAGAGTCTCATGAAAGGAGAAAATCACTTTATAATTTAACAGGGTTCATTTTAGTCAAATAAAATGTAATTCTTTCTCAAGCGCTGTAGGACCTTTTCTTTACTTTGCCTGTAACTTCAAGAATGTGAAGGTTCTTAACTCTGAAGTTAATAGGAGAGAATATAACAGTCATGATTTCAGAGATCATTTACAAATTACAAGTTTACTAAGTGAAATTTACCTATGTATATACAAATACATATCTGTAACTAGATATCATAATTTAAGTTACATAATTTTAAAATTTAATTATACTATTATTTGAAAAGTTAATAAGAATAATAGCAGTTAAAACATGAGCTAATGTAGGATGATGTGCCGTGGAATCTAAAAGTAAATATCTCAACAATTTGGGCAAGGGAATCTGATAATAGATTCAACTTATCCTAACATCTGGAATAAGTTTTTAACATTTATGTTAGTGAAACCACTAATAGATTCTGACAGAGTTTTCCCAGCTATATTTCTAAGCATTTATTGAAACACAGTTAAAATGGAATCCATGTGTACCCAGTTATCATTGCTACATTCTATAAAACATGGTTTTTTATGTCAGCCACTGAAGATATGGTCTCATTGCTTTTAGAATATGTTCTTTCATACCGCCAACCCTTCTCTATTTATTACAAAGGTAAAAACATATTAATCCTATATTTCCATTTTAGAATTCATCTAAAATATCCAGTATCTCTCTTCAAATTACTTGCTTCCTTCTGTCAAAACAAATGAATCTCTGATGGCATTTTCATATTTTATCAAATGAATATGACAATTTTTTTCCTGATTACAGAAGTAAGACAGAATCAATTTTAGATGTTCAGAAAATATTTAAAAGTAGACTGATAGCATGGATTTATTTGTGTTCCAGACTTTACAGACTTGTCCTTTGCATATACAAGAAACAAAATGTCTCTTCAATCACAAAATAAGATGATGTTATTGAACTGCTTAATAGCATGCATCTTTTCCCCCAATACATTAGCATAGACATAACGCTACAGCAATTACTTTGCTTCACTTCCATCATTTGGAAAGGCTACATACTATTCTATCCACAAACATATCATGATTTATTTAACTTGTCCCCTTTCAATTGACATTTAGATTGTTTTCATTATGTTAACATAAACTACCCTGTAGTGTATGTCCCTTATATATGTCTCTGTACACTTAACTGATTGTCTTTATAAATCCCTAAAAGGAAAGTTGCTAAGTTAAACAAGTTAAGGACTTCTAAAGGTTTTGATTCAAATTTCTAAAGGCTTTGCCAAATAGTTCTCCAGATTATTTGTATGAATTATTTTTTTGTCGATAGTGTATGCAAATGTGTATTTCCTTACATTCTCACGAACACTGTTAAGGTCATTGATAAGGGCACCATATAATTCTGCTTGTTGAGGTTATGTATATGCTTCTAATAGGGAGGTTAAATACTAAAGGGTGTTTAGTTTTTAGATCTTGGACTCTATCTAAAACACTGAGACAGATTTAGAAGCAGCATAAGACAACCATTCTGTATTGTAAAGGTTCAAAAAAAAGAGCTTTATTACATATTTTTCTAAACACTCACTTTGTGTTTCAAGTTTTTTAGAGGCCCATAATAACAGAAACAGAATAGTAATTTGAGACTTAATTTAGTAATTGACGGATAGATTACATTCATGTATAGCATCGACTTGCTTGGGGAGTTGGAATCATCCCCCAAGTTTAAGGTTTCACAATGGAGCTTGGTTATGATGAGAAGATGGTTATAGTTCTCTGCCTTAGCTAGGTAACTAGTGATAATTCGGACTTCAGAATGCAGTTTAAATGAAGGGATAGATTGTTCTAGTGTAGGGTGTTTGTGTGTGTGTGTGCATGCATGTGTATGTGTCTACGAGAGAGACATACACTACAGGAGAGACATACACTCGTATGTCTGAGAGACAGAGATTCACTCCCTCAGATTTTTTTTTGTATTCTGGGTAAAAAGGTTATATTTCAGTAATTCACTAAAGCTCTTTCCAACTCCACCTTCCTTCTCTCTTTATTATCACTGTTTTCACAGTGCTGTTTTTGTACCCAACACTGTCCTTCCTCCTTTTTGCCTGTGGATTGGCCTTGGCATGTTTTCTGCAGCGTCCCTTTGTTTATGGGACACATTATCTGTATCATGGGCTTTTAGAGCTCCTGTTGTAAATTCCCATTGAAGAGGCCCTTTCCTTTGTAGGGCTACTTTTTCCTATTAAAATTATATTCCTTTATGGTGACTGGTTTAATTTTAATGCAGTTTCTAATGTAATGTAGTGTTTCTCATGAGTTTCACTTTTCCAGTTGTTTTCAGATGTGCTCCAGTCACTTGATGTGAGTTGCATTGACCTATTGTGTCATATTCTCTCCCTTTTGATGGTTTCTTCCTCTTTCAATTTTAATCCCCTCTTATTCTTTGATGGTATTTTCTTCCACTGTACTCTTTTGTCTTTGATGATTTTTTTTGTGTTTCTTTCCTCTTATCATGCTTTTATGTTTAACATTGGTCTTTTTAGTTTGCTTTCACATCCACTTCCTCTGAAGCTCTTCTGTCTTGGTATATTGTTTCCTGAGATAGTCTATCATTTTTGATGATAACATACATACAACATGGACCTCAAGGAAAATATCATTTAGGTGAGAAAAAAGTTATGTCTCCCTTTATCAACATATTATATTGACTAAAGCAGAATCATGTATAACTAATGAGCTGGCATCCATTTGAAGTTTTGGAAATTTCTTGGAATATCTATTATGCTCCAGTAAGTGTTAAAAATATAAAACACTCAAAAACGGTGCTGAAAGATAAGATAAAAATACGTGTGAGATCTAGTTAAATAATGACTCTACCTTCATTAAGTCAGGGCTTGGAATGATTTTAAATGTCCTTTAGATCATTTTATTATCTAATATCTGAAATCTCTACAACATCCCAAACAAATAATCATTTAGAGCATGGTTAAGGAACAAGGATAACCAAAAACAGAATAGCCAATTAGACTTTCATATTTTCCTTATATAGAGTGAAAATCTGTGTCAATGTAGACTTGCATTTTGGCCCTAGTTTTACTCACTGACATCATGCATTTTTTATAGATTTTATTTTTAAAGCGGTTTTAATAGGCTCACAGCAAAATTGAACAGAAGGCACGGAGATTTTCCATATGCCCCCAGCCCCCACACTTGCATAGCCTCCCACATTATAAACATCCTCCGCCATAGTGGTGCATTTATTATAATTGAGGAACCTAAACTGACACACCATTATCACCCAGACTCCACAACCTACATTAGGGTTTACTCTTGATGTACATTCTATAGGTTTGGACAAATTTATAAAAACTTATATCCACTATTATAGTATCATACAAAGTGATTTCACTTCCCTAAATAGCCCCTCTGCTCCATCTATGTATCCTTCCCTCCCTTCTAACTACTAACAACCACTGATCTTTTTACTGCTCCATGATTTTGCCTTTTCCAGAATGTTATGGCACTGAAATCATACAGTATGTAGACTATTCAGATTGGCTTCTTTCACTTAGTAATAGATGTTAAAGTTACATTTCTGTGTTTTTATGACTTGATACCTCATGTATTTGTAGCACTGCATAATATTCCATTGTCTGGATATATTACAGTTTATTTTTCACCTACCGAAGGACATTTTAGTTTCTTCCAAGTTTTGACAATTATGAATAAAGCGGCTATAAACATCCATGCACAGATTTTTGTGTGTACATAAGCTTTCAAATCCTTCGGGTTAATACCGTGGGGGCATGATTGCTGTATCATGTGGTAAGAGCACATTTATCTTTGTATGAAACCACCAAACTGTCTTCCAAAGTGGCTGTACCATTTTTCATTCCCACCAGCGATGAAATAGAATTCCTGTTTCTCCACAACCTTGCCAACATCTACTGTTGCTGGTATTCTGGACAATGACAATTCTAAGAGTTGTGTAGTGGTATCTCTTTGCTGTTTTAATTTGTATTTCTCTGATAACATATGATGCAAAGTATCTTTTCATATGCTTATTTGCCATCTGTACATCTTGTTTTTTGGTGTGGTGTCTTTTAAGGTCTTTGGCCTGTGTTTTTAGTTGACTTGTCTTTTTTTTTTTTTTTCTCATGTTTGAGTTTTAAGACTTCTTAATTGTATGTTTTGGATAACAGTCTTTTATCAGATATGTCTTTTGCAAATTTTTTTTTTCAGTCTGTGGCTTGCCTTTTTATTCTCTCATCAATGACTTTGACAGAGCAGAATTTTTAAAATGTTAATGAAATCTGGCTTATCAATTCTTTCTCTCATAGATCATGTGTTTATTGTTGTATACAAAAAATGAACACCAAACCCAAGATCATCTAGATTTCTATGTTTTCTTGTAAGTCTTTGACAGTTTTATGTTTTACATTTAGTTCTATGATTCACTTAAAGTTTATTTTTGTGAAGGGTTTAAGGTCTGTATCTAGATGCAATTTTTTTTTCATGTGAATGCCCAGTTGTTTCAGCATCATTTATTAAAAATCATTTTCCCTATAGTATTGCCTTTGTTCCTTTTCCAAAGGACAGTTGATTATATTTACGTGGGTCTATTTCTGGGCTCTCTATTTTGTTCCATTGACATATTTGTCTGTCTTTCACTGATACCACAGTGTCTTGATTACTGTACCTTTATAGTAAGACTTGAATTTGGGTAGTGTCAATCCTTCAACTTTTATTTTTCTTCTCCAGTATTGTGTAGGTTATTCTGGGTCTTTTATCTCAAAATAAAAAGTTTTGAATCAGCTTTTTGATATCCACAAAATATTATGCTGAAATTTCGATTTGGATTTCATTAACTCAACAAACCAAGTAGAGAAGATCTGACATCTTGACAATACTGTCTTCTTGTTGATGAACATGGAATATCTTTATTTATTTAGTTCTTCTTTGAGTTATTTTCTCTGAGTTTTGTTTTTCTCATGTAGATCTTATTCCTATTTTGTTAGATCTATTCCAACTATTTTATTTTTAGGTGTGCTAATGTATATGGTACTATTAATTTCAAGTTCTACTTCTTTATTGCTGGTATATAGGAAAGTGATTGAAATTTGTATGTTAACCTTGTGTCCTACAGCTCTATAAAAATTGCTTATTAGTTCCAAGAACATTTATCGATTCTTTCAGATTTTCTATATAGATAATCATGTCATCTGCAAACAAGGGCATCTTTATTTCTTCCTTTCTAATGTGAATACTTTTTCTTTTCTTGCTTTATTGCATTAGCTAGGACTTTCAGTGCAATTTCAAAAAGCAGTGGCGAGAGACCATATCCTCACCTTGTTTCTGATCTTAGTTGAATCTGATTTTATCATACTAAATATCCAGTCGTTTATCATTGATGAATGTTATTCTCTATCCATGGTTATTGATAGATTAATTAAAAATAAGAAAAAAGTAAGTTTTTATTTTACTTTCATTTATTTCTTCCCTGACACTCTTCCTTTTTTTACATGGATGAGTTTTTGAACTATATCATTTTCCTTCTCTAAAGAACTTCTTTTAACATTTTTCGCAAGAAAGTTCCACTGGCAGCCAATCCCTTCAATTTTTGTTTGTTTGAGAGAGACTTTATTACCTCTTCACTTTTTTTTTTTTTTTTTTTTTTTTTTTAGATAAGAGTCTTGCTCTTTTGTCCAGGCTGGGGTACAGTGGCGCAATCTTGGCTCACTGCAAACTCTGCCTCCTGGGTTCAAGCAATTCTCCTAACTCAACCTCCCTAGTAGCTGGCATTACAGGTGCACACCACCACGCCCAGCTAATTTTTATATTTCTAGTAGAGATGTATTTTTAGTAGAGATGGGGTTTCGCCATGCTGGTCTAGAACTCCTGGCCTCAAGTGATCTACCCACCTCAGCCTCCCAAAGTGCTGGAATTACAGATGTGAGCCACGGCACCCGGCCCCTCTTCACTTTTGAAGAAAAATTTCACAGGTTATAGAATTCTGGCTTGGTGGGTTTTCTCTCTCTTTCTCTCTCTATCTCTCTCTCTCTCTCTTTCCCAATGCTTTAAAGAGTTAACTTCACTCTTTTCTTGCTGACATGGTTTGTGAGGAAAAGTCAGATGTAATTCTTATCTTTGTTCTTTTTATAACAAGTAAATTTGTTGATTTGTTGATTTTTTTTCTAGTCTTCTTTCAGGATTTTTAAAATTCAATTATTATTATTATTATTTTTAATGAGATCAGGTCTCACTCTGTCACCCAAGCTGGATTGCAGTGATGTGATTACAGCTGACTGCATCCTTGAACTCCTGAGCTCAAGCAATACTCCCACTTCAGCTTCCTGAATAGCTGGGACTACAGGGACGGGCTACTATTGTTCCTGGCTAATGTATTTTATTTTTTACTTTTTGTAGATCTTAGGTCTCACTTTGTTTCCCAGGCTGGTCTGATACTCCCAGCTTCAGATTCCCTGCCTCGCCCCCTGTAAAGTGCTGGGATTACAGGCATGAGTCACCACACCTGACCGTGAATTTTTTTTTTAATCCTTGATTTTGTGTACTTTATAAATGATATGCCTAGGTGTAGTTTTATTTTCATATTTTTACTGCTTGTTTTTCTATTGAACTTCCTGGATCTGTGGGGATTTTTTTAATCTGATATTAATTTGAGGAAATTCTCAGTCATTATTTTTTCCAATTTTTTTTCTGTTTTTTTTTTCCTTCTTGATTTTTCCTTCTGATACTCCCATTACACATATGGCATACATTTTGTAGGTGCCCCACAATCCTTGGATATTTTGTTCAGTTTTTTTTTTCCTCTTTGTTTTTCTGTTGTTGAGGTTTCTCCTGAGATATCCTTAAGTTCTGAGATTCTTTCCTCAGCCACATTCGCTCTATTAATAAGACCATGTAAGTCACCCTGATTTCTGATACAGTTTTTTTTAATCTTTACTATCTTTTTGGTTTCTTCCTAGAGTTTCCATCTACTTACTCCCCTTAACTATCTGTCCTTCCATCCTCTCTACTTTATCCATTATAGCCCTTACCAAGCATAGTTGTTTTTAAATCTCAGCATTCTTCCCATACCTAAATGTGGTTTGATGCTTGCTCTGTTTCTTCAAACTGTGCTTTTCTGCTGCTGAGTTTGTTTTGTAAGTTTTCGTTGATATCTTTACATGGTATACTGGATAAAAAGAACTGTTTTAAATAGGGCTTTAGTAATGCGGTAGTGAGGTTTGGTGAGAGGAAAGGTGTTCCGTAGTCTATAATGAGGTCTCAGTCTTTTAGGGAGCCTGTGCCTCTGGAAAGTGAACTTCACACTTGCTTCTCAGGGCCCCTCCACTCATTTTAAGTGAGACAGGAGGTCTAAAGTAGGTTGGAGTTTGGTATTTCCCTTCCTCCACGTCAATTTGAAGCTGATAAAATCTGAGCAGTGAAGCTCTGGCTAAATATTTTCCCCGAGAGCAGACCTTAGAATAGAGTCCTCTGAGTATTTCAAAACCCCTGGCCGCAATCAGAAGGACAAGGAAATATTTTTCTGAGAACCTAGTAGAGCTCTAGGAGGTAAAATACAACAGTAAGGCAGGTAATTGGGTCTTTCTAGAGTTCTTAGCTGTTTGACTTGTCCACAGTGAGCCTTCGGCTATTTGATAATCACAATTGAGGTTTTCCTCCTCAGCATTGGTTCCCACAAAGATTTCGGCTCATTGGTTTCTGCTGCAGTAAGTTGTGATTCTCTGTATTCTCCTGTCAGTCTTTACCCTTTTTGTGTGGCAGAGGTTTACCCTGTGACCTCACTTCTCTTACAGATCTAAGAAAAGTTATTGAGTTTTCAGTATTTTCAGAGTTTTACTTATTAGGATGAAGTGGTGACTTCCAAGCATCTTACATACAGGATTGGAAACCAGAAGTGCCTTCTACATTTTCTTTAAAATAGAATTCTTTTGTATCATGGTGCTCCAGACATTTGAAAACATATTTTATCGTCTGTTCTTCAGTTTGAAAAATTTTAATGACTAGATATTACCAGTATCTATAACTAACTCTTCCTCAGGCAGAATTTTTTGTTACAATTTTACCATCCTTGTTATATCCTTTATAGTGTATTTCTGTGTGTGTGTGTGTATAAAACACATCATTCTGGAACTAGTTGAGCAACTGATAGGAAAAGGCCCATCTCATTCTTTAATCAAGAGATTACAGTAATGTAATGTAATATATAATTGCATTAACATTTTTATAATTGAAACTCACATTGAATTTCTTTACCTTTCATCAGTAAGGTACTATTCTACTGCATTTGAGTTTTTAGATGTGAACATCTATTGCATGTCATCTTGCAAGATATGGCTCACCACTCTTATCGAGATGGGTTGGAAACCTTACTTTATCATACTATAAATTAAGTTGTTTTTTCCTTGATTTATGTCATTTTCCATTCATGTTATTGATAGTGAACAAAACATATTCAAGGTCAGAACTCTGTGAAATGCTTTACAGACTGACATTTGTCCTCTACCCAACATTATTTGAATACCACTATTCAATCAGTTTGAAATCCATCTAATTGAAATATCATCCAACCCTACTTGAGCTTTAATCTCATGAAAATATCTTATTAAATTAAATTTGTCTAATGCATTTCCCTTATCAACCAATCTAGTAATTCTTTCAAAATACATTTTATAAGCTTTCTTACTGAGGTAGAATCAATCAGGCACACAGATTCTGATTATACTAACTCAGGTTTTCATTTAAGCAAATTTTGCATGTTTAAGTGGTTCATATGATCATAGTCTGTCTCTGTTTTCTGGGTTACAAAAGCAAAAAGATGATTTAGTCCCCTTGATTAATTGTTGTTGAAGTTCTACAACAAACGTAGTATAAACATTTAGTTGTTAAAACATTTGCGGCTGGGCACAGTGGTTCACACCTGTAATCCCAGCGCTTTGGAAGACTGAAGTGGGTGGATCATGACAGGAGTTCAAGACCAGCCTGGCCAAGGTGGTGAAACCCCATCTCTACTAAAAAAAATTAAAAAATTAGCCAGGCCTGGTGGCGGGCACCTGTAATCCCAGCTACTCAGGAGGCTGAGGCAGGAGAATCACTTGAACCTGGGAGGCAGAGGTTGCAGTGAGGCAAGATCGTGCCACTGCACTCCAGCCTGGGGGACAGAGCAAGACTCCATCTCAAAAAAAAAATTGTTTATTCCCCAGCCAAGACCCACAAGTTCAGTAGAAAATTCTTTGGCATCCTGTGCCAAATAGGTATTTCTGAAGGAGGTATTTCTAGTATCATGGCAATTGATTTCCTAAAAAGATATGACAATTATAACACCTTATATATAGACTATTCAATACTCAAATGCCCAAGGACAGAAACATAACATAAATATATTTGAAAGTATATTTTAAACTGTATAAAATTTTACTACATTTTTCAATTTTAATGTTTAGCAGAGTTCCTCTTACATTGTTTAGGAATATGTGCTATTATATTCTGCCTGCTAACATTCTACTTTTTTATGTTGATGTATCCAAATATAAGCAAGACTACACAGGGAAGGAACACATAGAAGGAATTATCAAGAGGATATAAATAGAAACAAGTAAAGAACTTACATAATCAATATACTGGTTTCAATTCATATGTAATCACAAAACTGACACAGTGAAGCTGAAAGTACAATTTCACAGAAAAACAAGATTTTGTTCTTCTGTCCAATATTTCTAGGTTATTAATTTTCCATAATTTAGTATACTTTGTGGTTGCTTGTTGTTTTTAAATCTTGGTTTTAGAACACTTTGAAAAAAATTGAAAATGTTCTATTGGAGAACAAATGTCACCTACATCTAAAGGAAATCAAACTGAAATAAAAAACGTATATTGAATTTTAAATTATACAATTTTAATTGTTCTGTTTATCTGATTCACTATGTGTAAAAAGAACACACAAAAGAATATGACCAGAAATTCAAAAAAACAGTTTACATCTTGACAAGGGACTTCTTGTAAGTTTTATAATTAATGTTCGTTAAGAATTCCAAACTCTGCTAGGAATCATTGTAGCTCTTCATCAATTCAATGTTTAATTTCACTTGGGTCTCGCATGGAACTTAGGTTTTTATTTACTGAAGGGCTTAGGCATGGGTGGGTATGTCTGAAGGAACGCAATAGCAAGTCCTTCAATTGTTCTATTTGCGTAGGAGCTCTGGGAGATTCCTGGGAAAGAATTCAACCTAAGAGAAGGGGAGTCTGGCACATGATTTTGATTCACAGAGAGTCAGAAGCAGGGCTGTGTGATATACAATGTGCTCTCAGTCATTCATGGTTTTCTGGCATCATTCCTGAATTATTTTTTTAAAGGCTGTAAAAAACATAGTGTAGACTAAAAGAACTTAAGAGTGCGAAACATAAGTAGCATTCAAGTAAACACGTTCTTCAGAGACAGGAAGTAGTAACTTCAGATGTGAATGTGTGGGGCATAAATTGTGTTGCCAGATTTACTAAATAAAAATACAGAATACCCAGTTAAATTTAAGATAAGCAATACATATATATGTGTGTGTGTGTGTGTGTGTGTGTGTGTGTGTGTGTGTGTATGGGGAGAGAGAGAGAGAAATAAATATGTATTTCACTTATGTACATATATACAAACATGATATATTTTTATATCTCTCACATACATATACTTTTTAAGTAAGTCCTATGTAATATTTGAGGCCATACCTATACTAAAAATAACTATTGATTGTTCCTCCGAAATTCAAATTTAACTGGGTATCCTGCATTCTACTGGGCAACCCTCAGAATATCATCAACATTGGCAATTCCAGTGGAAGGGGTCAGGACCTTTAACTCAGATATATTTTCCTTTGACACATGGAATATAGAGAGCAGATGCTCCTACAGTGAGCAACAACATAATTGGAACCTTAATGTTTCCTGTATATTGGCCCTGAATTTGTAGCCATTGAATATTTTTGGCTTACTGTCCACTTCGTTTCTCTCTTAATGTGTACAGTTCCAAATAATTCTTTGTTTGTACTTCAATAATTAATCTAGAAAAAGAAAATACATAAGAAAAAAAGAATAATACATATAACAAAAATAAAACAAAAGCAATAAAATAGAATAATACAGCAAATTATTGAGCCAAAACCCAACACACTAGCAAAATAAGGTATTACCAATAGAGTGACAATATTCCTCTGTATCTCAATACCTTCTTCGCTAGAAAATACCCCATATTCTGACTTTCGTGTTTATCAGTTTCTTGTCTTTTATGGTGTAGTTTTCTTTAGTCCTAGGATTATAAATGTTATTATATGTAATTTTTTTCTGCAACTTACTTTATTATGGCCTATCCATCATGTGACCTATTCATGTAGTTTCAGTGACATACCATATTCTACAGGTATAAATATACTACAAATTATTTAATCATATTCTGTTGATGATTTTTTCCATTTCGATTGTTGTTATTATAAATAATGCTGTCCTGACATTTTATTTATAAGTCTACAGATACACATATGCAAAATTATCTCTTTAAACACTGTATTTAGGTGAGGAATTGTTGATTTGTACAACATGGGCATATTCAATTTTACAAGATAATGTCAAATTGTTTTCCAAAGTTACATCGATTAAATTCCCACCAGCTATGTCTAAAGTTTCTCACTTCTCCATACCCATATCCATACTTAGTATTTGCCAAATTTTCAATTTTGCCAATCTAATGGGTATAAAATTGTATCTGTTAGGCCTTAATTTATGTTTTCCTGAATGCTAATTAAATTGAACAGCTTTTCCCATGCTAAATGGCCATTCACTTTTCTCCTCTGTGAAGAGCTTTTTTTTGTTGTTGGTATATTCATGTTTTATGCACTTATTTAAGCATTTCATTATAAATTAGGACAAATAATTATTTTATGTGTATTTGGTTGCCAAGATATTTTCCACCTTCATAAAATATCTTTATTGTGGTAGCTTACGCCTTCTCATATTTTCTTTATTCTCTCCTTCCATCTGCCATTTTGAATGTATTCCTTTGTACTTTCTCTGACATGTTATGCAGGATAGTTAGCCCATAGTTTTGTCTTCTCTTGTTTGAAAACATATTTTCTTATGATTGTCGCTTTTGGTATTTACCTGCTTCAATACCTATGGATTCATGTCTTTCATTAGCTTTGTTGTATTCTTAACCTGCATGTTACCTCTCTTTTATTTTCTCTACTTTCTTCTTATAGGAATCTTATTAGAGAGAACTTTTCTTATTCCATCATACATGTGTTCACATGTACACACACATTTTATTTTTCAATATTTTTATTTCTCTCTACTGCAGTTTAGGTAATTTTATTTTTTCAGATTCAACATATAATTCCCTAATAGTACAAAACAATTGTGTTTAACTTTTTGTTTAATCATGTAATAGAGATTTTAATTTTGAAAACTATATTTTTTGACAATTTTACTTGTTAATACCTAAAGAATGTCTGGTGGTTGTTTCCATATCTCACAGTATAGATACAATTAATTGGCTCTAGAGAAACAGCACTTTCTAGTTTTTTATTTATTTTTGACTCTTGAAGATTTTTCTGACGTTCTTGCAAGCTCAATCAACTTTAAAAAGTAATTATTATGGCACAAAATCTATAATACTCTTACACTATTGAAGAAGATCCAATCAAAACACTTATTCTTCTATATTTCTGAAGTAGAAACCTGTTATTACTCATTATTCTTGTCTCAGGTTACTTCTCCCTTTTCTGAGAAACCTCTCCTGGTTCCCATGACACCCATGACTAAGTAAGTCAGTTTCTTGAGTTAAGTTTGCATGAAATAAAATTCAGCAGATATTGCCATTTTTTTTTCTAGTGGTCATGGTATCACATGGGACCAAAATTGAGGAAGTTGGAAATGTTCATTGCCATAGTTTAGCTGAGGGGTCTAATTTACTGATTAGCTGAGAATGTGACACCATGCAAGCTCTCTGATATTTCAGGAGAATTTTGAAAGGGTTTTAGTTCCTGAAGAAAGAAAAGCAGAGCTAGAGAATGATTTCATGATCCTGTGTTTATCTGTAGGCTTCTGTGTCCTGAGAAACGTAGGTAACTTAACCATTTACAACTAAGAAAACAAGGCAGTTTCTGTCATTAAACTAGTAAATTTGGTATGTCTGATCATAATACAGTATTGCCTCACATTTCATAACTTTAAGGAAATTAGTGACCTTATTGTCATATCTTTTCTATTGAAAAAGTAGCAAGAAAGTGTGCCTAAAATTATGACTGCAATTTACCAGCCAGCATGAGAAGATGTTGCATTTTAACAGACAATGTATAGTTTATAAAACAAATTTTACAAGTTATTATATTTTAGATTTTAGATGTATTTTATACCAAAAAAAGACAGAAGGGTACAACTTAACGAAACCAGTTTTTACTTCAACTACTGTCTTATCTCATCCTTATGATGTAGAGATTTCTTTCCTCACGTTTTCCCTTGGTTTTGTTATAAATCATGAGTCTCTTCACATGTTTTATAATTTTTAAAGGTTTTTTTCTAATATAAATTCTGTTTTGGATTCTCCTTGATGAAAAAAATTTTTAAATTTGAAAAGATTGTTTACTTGAGCTTCTCTGTCCTCTATAGTTCTTACAATTATAGAAGCTTATGCGTGGTTTCCTCAGCCAAGCAGGTACGTTTCACATCCCTGAATATCTAGTCCTGGATAGACATGAGGAAAAGAATGAGTCCATGATAGTGGCAATAAGACATGCATACTGGCAATAGATTCTAGCCACGATATTGGGATTTAGCAGTGCCCGGGAAGGCCATAGCTTGAGCATAAAAAGTTACTCCTTTTCCCTGAATAGGACTGCGCAGACTACAGTGTCTCTTTCTTTAAACATGTATAGGAATAAATTACCACAAGATAAGAGAAATTATGTAAAAGCTCTGTCAATGTCGACATTAGAACAAACCAAAATCAACTACAAATAACTTCTTTGTGGAGAAATGTCTTGAAAATGCAATCTCTTTATCCAGATAGGTCAAAACAAAGCCTGGGTGAAGAGATCCTCTGTTGAGGCACTGGTGATATTTATTAGTAGTGACAGAAACTTCAGAAAGTAGTGGTCATCTTTTTCCATAGATTGCAAAAGCTCAAAGCATTATATAAAGACTCACTAAGAGAATCTGAGGCAAGAAAGATGAGGAAGGCCAAGAGTTGCTTAATGAATGCTACATACATCACTTCTAAAAATATATTAATTATATCTATATTACATAAAAGGACATGTCCCAAGTTTGTCAGTTCATCAATATTTGTAACACCTTGAACCATCTTTAATACTGAAGGAAATATTTAAAATATCTCTACATTTAGAATAAGAGTGTCAGAAAATGGCCAGTATGTTTTTATTTATATTTCTCACCTTGTACAGAAGAATTGTGGCTGTAAATAATTTTTCAATAATATGAATTTTAAAATCTATATTACCTGTAATTTAAATAATAAACTCTGCAACCTATGAATAATTTTAGTTTTTATTTTATTTGAAATTCAGAAACCATTGTTCCTTTGTATCTTTCTTTACATAAGATGATTATAAATGTGTAAGAATAGCATATAATCTTTTCCTGCCTCTTTAATTAAAAAGTTACTATTCTGATGTAGAAATGAGGTGAAAGATATACGAGCTGGAATTAGTTTAATTATATAAAATAATTAAGAGCTACTTTTCATTCACAGCTCTGGGATCTGCATTACAAAATCAAGACCTGTATAAAAACTAAATATACAGCATTTTTTCCCAAGATGGCAGATTAGAGGCTTTTAGCATGCCTCACCACTTAAAATAGCAATATAGCACATAAGGATAAACTCTGTGGGCTTTAATTCAAGGAAGAGAATGATAATCCATCAGAATCATGAAGGACAGCCCAGAATCTGTGGAGGAAAATGGAGGCAAATAGCTCCCGTGATGGCATCTGGCTAATAAAGCTCAGATCCCCAGTGGAAAGGTAAGTCACAGAAGGAGGCTCCCTGCCTCTCTCACATCTCCCATTGATATGGTTAGGCTTTGTGTCCCCACTCAAATCTCATCTTGAATTGTAATCCCCATAATCCCCACATCTCAAAGGAGAGACCAGGTGGACATAATTGAATCATGGGGGCAGCTTCCCCCATGCTGTTCTCATGATAGTCAGTGAGTTCTCATGAGGTCTGATGGTTTTATAAGGGGTTCTTGCTCTTTCTCTCAGCACTTCTCCTTGCTGCTGCCTTGGGAAAAAGGTACCTTGCTTCCCCTGCCCCTTCTCTCATGATTATAAGTTTTCTGAGCCTTCCCCAGCCATGCTTAACTGTGAGTCAATAAAACCTCTTTCCTTTGTAAATCACCTAGTCTTGAGCAGTTATTTATAGCAGTATTTCATGGACAAATTCAGGAAATTGATACTGGTAGAGTGGGATGCTGATGTAAAGATACTGGAAAATGTGAAAGTGACTTTGGAACTGGGTAACAGGAAGAGGTTGGAACAGTTTGGAGGGCTCAGAAAAAGACAGGAAGATGTGGGAAAGTTTGGAACTTCCTAGAGATTTGACTTTGACCAAAATGCTGATAGTGATATAATCAATAAAGTCCAAGCTGAGGTGGTCTCAGATGGAGATGAAGAATTGTTGGGAACTGGAATAAAGGTGACTCTTGTCATGTTTTAGCAAAGAGACTGGTGGCATTTTGCCCCTGCCCTAGAGTTCTGTGGAACTTTGAACTTGAGAGAGATGATTTAGGGTATCTGGCAGAAGAAATTTCTAAACACAAAGCATATGGGGATTATGCTCTTATGGTTTGTATGCTCTTAAAAGAATGTAGTTTTATGCATTCACAAAGATATGATTTGTAATTGGATCTTACGTTTAAAAGGGAAACACAGCATAAAAGTTTGGAAAATGTTAAGCCTGGCAGTGCTATAGAAAAGAAAAACCCATTTTCTGGGGGGAAAGTCAAGCCAGCTGCAAAAATTTGCATAAGTAACAAGGAGTTAAATGTTAATTACCAAGACAATGGAAGCAATGTCTCCAGAGCACATCAGAAGTCTTCACAGTAGCCCCTCCCATTAAAATTCCAGAGGCCTAGGCAAAAAAAATAAAATGGTCTCATTGGCTGGGCCCAGGGCCTTGCTGCTTTGTGCAGTCTGGGGACTTAGTGCCCTGCATCCCAGTCATAGCCAAAAGGGGGCAATGTACAGCTCAGAGGGTGCAAGCTTTAAGCCTTGGTGGCTTCCATATGGTGTTGGTCCTGCCAGTACGTGGAAGACAAGAACTAAAGTTTGAAAACCTTCATCTAGATTTCAGAGGATGTATGAAAACGCCTGGATGTCCTGGCAGAAGTTTGCTGCGGGGGTGGAGACCTCAGAGAGAACCTATGCTAGGGCAGTGCAGCAGGGAAATGTGGGGGTTGGAGCCCCCACACACAGTCCCCACTGGGGCAATGCCCAGTGGAGCTGTGATAAGAGGGCTACCATTTTCCAGAACCCAGAATGGTAGGTCCACTGACATTTAGCACTGTGTACCTGGATAATCCTCAGACACTCAACATCAGCCTGTGAAAGCAGCCAGTAGGGGAGCTGTACCCTAAAGAGCCACATTGGTGGAGCTGCCCAAGACCATGGAAGCCCACCTCTTGCATCAGCATGACCTGGATGTGAGACAGAGTCAAAGGAGATCATTTTGAAGCTTTAAGATATGACTGCCCCACTGGATTTTGGACTTGCTTGGGACCCATAGTCCCTTTGTTTTGGCCAATTTCTCCCATTTGGAATGGGTGTATTAACCCAATTTCTGTACACCCATTTTATCTAGGAAGTAAATAACTTACTTGTGATTTTACAGGCTCATAGGCAGAAGGGACTTGCTTTGTCTCAAAAAAGACTTTGGACTTGGACTTTTGGGTTAATGCTGAAATGAATTAAGACTTTGGTGGACTGTTAGGAAGGCATGATTGGTTTTGAAATGTAAAAGGGACATGAGATTTGAGAGGGCCCAGGGGCAGAATGATATGGTTATGCATTGTGTCCCCACCAAAATTTCATCTTGAATTGTAGTTCCCATAATCCTCATAATCCCCATATGTCAAGGGAAAGACAATGTGGAGATAATTGAATCATGGGGGCAGTTTCCCCATGCTGGTTTTGTAATAGTGAGTGAATTCCCATGAGATCTGATGGTTTTATAAAGGGCTCTTTCCCTTCTCTCAGCACTTCTCCTTTCTGCTGCCTTGTGAAGAAGGTGTCTTGCTTTCCCTTCGCCTTTTGCCATGATTGTAAGTTTCCTCATTCCTCTCTAGCCATACTAAATTGTGAGTCAATTAAACTTCTTTCCTTTGTAAATTACCCAGTCTCAGGCTGTTCTTTATAGCAATATGAAAATGGACTAATACACCCAGTATGAGAGCACTTTGTTTCTCCTAACCCCTGGAGCTAACTTAGGGGAAGGTCTGGAGATACTGTGATGCAAAGACACTGGGTAAAAATGTAGACATTTCCTCAGATCTGTGATTGAGTGTAGGACTCCATTTTTAATCTGGGCACATATAAAGTCAGCATTCTTTGGTGAGCATGGCCACATAGGAATTTTAGTCTCAGGCCAGAGATTGGATCTCCTATTCTTGAGTGAGTGGGATAGGGGTCTCCCCAGGCTGAACAGCAGAAAAATTCTCAGCAATAGGCACTGGAATTGTGCTCTCCCCTGTAACAGGATTTCCATGGGAAGAATGCTGCTAAAGCTGTGGTTTCTCCTGGACAATGAGATTTGTAGCCAGGGCCAGCTTGGTGACCTGGAACTGGTCTGCATGTGTCATGCCTGGGCACCCCAGCCTAGTCCACTGAGATTGTGATGTAGTTGGCATCCATTCTGTTCCATACCCATCCAGATCTTCAGGTATTCAGAGCACCCTCTTGTCTGGATCAGCAGCCTGAGCTATCCCACCCTTCCTGTGCATAGATCATGGTGCAGTGGGACCCTCTTCACTCCACATGTAGGGAGATCTCCAGAAATCTGGAGCACCTCCTTGCATGGATTACCAACCTGATTGCCCCACACTTCAAGTGCAGAGATCCTGTGCATGGTCATGCTCAGGTAAATCTCTAGGCATTCAGAGTACCAGTTCACCTGGCTCAGCAGCCTGAGCCACCCCACCCTTCCTAGGCATAGATTATGGTGCAGTGTGGCCCTCCATGCTCCACAACCAGGCAGATCTCCAGGCATCTTGAGCACCCACTATCTTGGATTAGGAGTTTTGGCCACCCCAGTCCCCATACAGAGTGATTGGGCTGAGGAGGTTTCCAAATTACATGCCTAGGCACACCTCTGTGTGCTTTGCTTGGTGTCTACCTACTGTATTCTTGCTTAGAACTGGTGCTGGCACCTGCCTTTGGGGGACCTATAGGCTCTCCTGCTTGGTCTGGCTCCACCCATCTTGCCCCCAGCTACACCTCAAGGCTGAGAAGGGATCTCAGATCAATGTTCATTCCATGAATCAGCCTGAGGCAACAGAGAGCTTCTCCCAATAACAAGTATATACTCAGCCACATTGGCTGCTTATGTTCTTTTGTATAAGTACCTTCTACTAGCTTGTAGATTGAAATACACATTGAAAGTATAAAAACTTTCAAAAAAAGCACATAGGGCTATAGAAGAATTCTGTATACAAGAATTCTGGCAGCATAAAAAGTTGTGAATGCAATGACACCACCAAAGGATCACACTAGATCTCCAACCACAGCCTGTAACCAAAATGGAAACTAAGAAATGACAGATAAAGATTTCAAAGCATGGATTACAAGGAAGCTTAACTAGATCAAAAACAAGGTTGAAAAATCAACACAAAAAAACTTTGAGAGCAATCCAGGCCCACTGAGATAACGAAAACAGTAAGTGAATCCCACACTGGCAACTGAGGTATCCAGGTTCTCTCACTGGGACTAACGGGCTGGTTGGTGTAACCCATGGAGAGTGAGGAAAAGCAGGGTGGTGCAATGGCTCACCTGGGAGCCACATGGGGCAAGGGGTGCTCCCATCCCCAGGCAAGGGAGGCAATGAGTGATTGTGCTACCCCACCCAAGAAACCACACCCTTTCCAAGGATCTGTGCAACTCAAAAATCAGGAAATCCCCTTTGTGATCCCATGCCACAAGGGTCTAGTTCCCAAGCACAGAGCTGTGCAGATTCTCAGCAGCCACTCAGCTGGGGACTGCCTAAGACTACCGAGTTCCCTGGGGGAAGAGTGGCCATCATCACTGCAGCTGCTGGCTGCCTAAGATGACAGTTTCTGGGGGGAGGGGCAGCATCCATCACTGCTGCCAGGGCAATCAGGCAAGAGAAAGAAATAAAGATACTCAAATAGGAAGAGAAAAAGTAAAACTTCCTCTGTTTGCAGATGACATGATCCTATATTGAGAAAACCTCACCATCTCAGCCCAAAAGCTTAAGATGATAAGCGCTTCAGCAAATTCTCAGGATACAAAATCAAAGTGCAAAAATCACAAGCCTTGCTATACAGCAACAATAGCCAAGCAGACAGCCAAATCATGAATGAACTCTCATTCACAACTGCTACAAAGAATAAAATACTCAGGAATACAGCTAACAAGGGAAGTGAAGGACCTTTTCAAGGAGAATTGCAAACCACTGCTCAAGGAAATCAGTGAGAACACAAACAAATGGAAAAACTTTCAATGCTCATGGACAGGAAGAATCACTATCGTGAAAATGGCCATACTGTCCAAAGTAATTTATCAATCCAATGCTATTCCCATTAAAGTACCACTGACATTTTTTACAGATTTAGAAAATGTATTTTAAAATTCATATTGAACAAAAAAAGAGCCTGTATAGCCAAGACAATCCTAAGCAAAAAGAACAAAGCTGAAAGCATCAGATTACCTGATTTCAAATTATATTACAAGGCTACAGTAACCACAGTAATCAAAACAGCATGGCCCTGGTACCAAAACAGACACATAGACAAATAGAGCAGAATAGAGATTTCAGAAGTAAGACTGCACATCTACAACCATCTGATCTTGGGCAAACATGACAAAAACTAGCAATGGGGAACAAATTTTCTATTTAATAAATGATGCTGGGAGAACTGGCCAGCCATATGCCAAAAATTGAAACTTGAACCCTTCCTTATACCTTATACAAAAATTAACTCAAGATGGATTAAAGGCCTAAATGTAAAACCCAAAACTGTAAAAATCCCAGAAAAACATCTAGACAATACCATTCAGGATATAGACACAGGCAAAAATTTCATGACGAAAGTGTCAAAAGCAGTTTCAACAAAAGCAAAAAATGACAAATGGGAACTAATTAAAGTAAAGAGCTTCTGCACAGCAAAAGAAATAATCAGAATAAACAGAAAACCTGTAGAATGAGGGAGAAATTTTGCCGTCTATCCATCTGACAAAGGTCTAATATGCAGAACCTACAAGGAACTTAAAAAAATTATAAGAAAAAACAAACAACACCATTACAAATTGGGCAAAGGACATGAACAGACATTTCTGAAAAGAAGACATTTATGTGGACAACAAACATATTTAGAAAAGCTCAACATCACTCATCATTAGAGAAATACAAATCAAAACTTCAATGAGATACCATCTCACACCAGTCAGAATGGTGATTATTAAAAAGTCAAGAAACAATAGATGCTGGTGAGGCTGTGGAGAAATAGAAACACTTTTACACTGTTGGTAGAAATGTAAATTAGTTCAACCATTGTGGAAGATAGAGTGGTGATTTCTCAAATACCTAAAACCAGTAATACCATTTGACCAAGCAATTCCATTACTGAGTATATACCCAAAAGAATATAAATCATTGTACTATAAAGATATATGCACACATATGTTCACTGTAGCACTATTTACAATAGCAAAGACATGGAATCAACCCAAATGTCCATCAATAATAGACTGGATAAAGAAAAAGTGCTACATATATACCATGGAATACTACGCAGCCATAAAAAGGAGTGAGATGGATGGAGCTGGAAGCCATTATCCTCAGCAAACACAGAAACAGGCTGGGTGCAGTGGCTGATGGCTGTAATCCTAGCACTTTGGGAGACCAAGGGGGCAGATCACCTTAGGTCAGGAGTTTGAGACCAGCCTGGCCAACGTGGCGAAACCCCATCTCTACTAAAAGTACAAAAATTAGCCTGGTGTGGGGGCACATGCCTGTAGTCCCAGCTACCTGGGAGTCTGAGGCAGGAGAATCGCTTGAACCTGGGAGGCAAAGTTTGCAGTGAGTCGAGATCATGCCATTGTACTCCAGCCTGGGTGACACAGCAAGATCCCATCTCAAAAAAAAAAGAAAAAAGGAAAAAATGAAAGAAGAAAGAAAGAAAACCAAACACTGCATGTTCTCATTTTTTTTTCCTTTTTTTTTTTTTTTTCTGAGGTGGAGTTTTTCCCTTGTTACCCAGGCTGGAGTGCAATGGCACAATCTCAGCTCACTGCAACCTTTGCCTCCCGGGTTTAAGCAACTTTCCTACCTCACCCTCCTGAGTAGCTGGGATTACAGGCATGCACTGCCACGCCCGGCTAATTTTGTATTTTTAGTACAGATGGGGTTTCTTGATGTTGGTCAGGCTGGTCTCAAACTCCCAACCTCAGGTGATCTGCCTACCTGGGCATCCCAAAGTGCTGGTATTACAGGCGTGAACCACTGCACCCGGCTATGTTCTCACTTATAAGTGGGAGTTGAACAATAAGAACACATGGGCACAGAAGGGGAACAACACACACTGGGGCCTGTCAGGGGAGTGTGGAAGGAGGGAGAGCATCAGGATAAATAGCTAAATAGCTAATGCATGTGGAGCTTAATACCTAAGTGATGGGTTGATAGGTGCGGCAAACCACCATGGCAAACGTTTACCTATGTCACAAACCTGCACGTCCTGCACATGTATCCCAGAACTTAAAATAAAATAAAATAATGTTTTTTAAAAAAAGTGATCCAGAAAATGAAGGAAGATGTAAACATCTTAAAAACAAATTAATGAGAGCTTCTGGAATTGAATAATTCACTTAAGGAATTTCAAAATACAATTGCAAGCTTTATCAATGGACTGGGCAAAGTAGAAAAAATAATTTCAGAGCTTGAAGACCAGTCTTTTGAACTAACTCAGTCAGACAAAAAGTAAAAAGAAAATAATTTTAAAAAATGAACAAAGTCTTTGAGAAAAGTAATGCCACTCTCCTATAGCCATCTGATCTTTGACAAAGTCAACAAAAATAAGCAATGGGGAATGACTCCCAATTCAATAACTTATTCTGATATAGCTAGCTAGCTATTTGCAGAAGAATGAAACTGGACTCCTATCTTTCACCATACACAAAAATTAACTCGAGATAGATGAAAAATTTAAGATATCAAACTATAAGAAACCTAGAAGAAAACCTAGGAAATATCATTCCTGACCTCAGCCTTGGGAAAGAATTTATGACTAAGTCCTCAAAAGAAATTGCAACAAAAGCAAACATTTACAAGTGGATCCTAATTAAACTAAAGGACTTCTGCATGGCAAAAGAAAGTATCCACAGAGTAAGTGGACAACCTACAGATGGGAGAAAGTATTTTCAATATATACATTCCACAAAGGTCTAATGTCCAGAATCTTTAAGGAACTTAAACTATCGAACAAGCAAAAACAAATAACCCCACTAAAATCAGCAAAGGATATGAACAGATGCTTCTCAAAAGAAGACATACAAGTGGCCCATAAATGTGAATAAATGTTCAACATCACTAACCATCACAGAAATGTGAATCAAAACTACAATGAAATACCATCAAACACCAGTCAGAATTGCTATTATTAAAAATTCAAAAAACAACAGATGCTGGTGAGGCTGTGGAGAAAAAGGAATGCCCATAACTGTTGTTGGAAATATAAACTAGTTCAGCCACTGTAGAAAGCAGTTTGAAGATTTCTTAAAGAACTTAAAATAGAACTATCAATGTAGTAATCCTATTACTGGGTACATATATCCAGAAAAAAAAAAAAGAAATAAATAAATCTTCTACCAAAAATGACACATGAGCTTGCACATTCATTACAGTACTTTTCACAGTAGAAAAGACATGGAATCCACCAAGGTGCCCATCAGTGGTGGATTAAATAAAGAAAACGTGGTACATATCAACTATAGAATACTATACAGCCTTTATAAAGAATGGAATCATGTCTTTTGCAGCAACATGGATGCAGCCGGATGCTATTATCCCAAAAAAATTAATGCAGGAACGGAAAATTAAATACTGTATGCTCTCACTTATATATGGAAGCTAATAAATGGTTACTCATGGATATGACAATGGCAGTAATTGACAGTCAGTACTAAGGTTGGGGGGGAGGCAGGGATAAGGACGAGGGTTGAAAAACTATTGGTTACTATGCTCAGGACCTGGGTGATGGGGTAAGTCATACCCCAAACCTCAGTGTCATTCAATATACCCAGGTTAAAAATCTGTACATATATGCCCTGAATCTAAAATAAAAGTTGAAATTATTTTTTAAGACCCCCAAAACCAATTATATTCCTAATCAGTGTAAAAATATTATACTTTCTACATCATTTAACATTTGGATGATGATACTTTGAAGGTTTCATTGCTGGGATTATTCTGAGCTGTTGGAAAGCAGAATTGTGTACCCTCAAGAAGTTTCCTTCTTACTCTCTTTAAATATTACATTTTAAATAGTGATTTTAAAAGTTTATTAAGCTAAATAATTTATTTTCTATTAGTGGTTGTCATTCTAAAACTCAAATTGTATTTTATCATTTATAAATTTCTAACAAATTATTTGGGACATGTTTTTGTTGACATGATTAAAAGCAGTGTAAAAAGTCTACCAGTTCACTACTTTTGTTGTAAAAATGCCAGGTTATAATAGATAATTTCTAGATTAAATGTATGAAGACTGGTTTTTCAGTGTCTCCTGTATTTCAAATGGACAAAATTGTACCTTTTTATTATGATGGTTAGTGATGCAGCAGAAATTTTACACTCTACTAAGAAAAATTAAAAATAAATATAAACTAAAAAGACTTCACTGATTTTCCTGTTGTTAATTTTAAGTCAGTTCTATAAGTGGTGAAACAGAAGGAGAAAAGACCTAAGGGCTGGAAGAGTCATCATTAGCCTAAAATTAGAAGACACCTAATTAGAGGTTTAATCAGTACCGCATCTTATGAATCATTAACTATATTTTAAACATCTGCATATCCAATGACAGGTGGGACTTCATAGTCATTATCTGGAAAATTCAGGTTTCATGTCAGATGCTTGTCAAAACTCAGGACATTCTGGTAATAATACTACCTTGTATACATATTGTGCTTTCTGCTATACAGTGCATTTCACATAATCATCATACTTGTGTCTTGTTTCAAACCTGCAGTGCAGGTAGAGACTTTAAATAAAACAGGTGAGGAGCATAAGGCTCAGCAAAACCAAATTATTTTCCTAAGTCGTTAATCATTAATAGTTGAGATGTTCTGAACCTATAGTTTTCTCATCACCAATATATTGACTGTTAAATATACTGATTTATACATTACACTACTACAAACTTCTGATTTCCTTTGGCTCTGAAAATGTAAGGTATCTAAAGAGAAAAAGAAAACAAAATTAGGCACGCTGTATTTCTACATAATAAGGTAAGAAAGAAACCCCTCATGTAAAGTCTAACTTTGATATCCATTCAAAGCTAAAATTCTTTGTGGTCTTGTTATCACTTATATTCACCACCACCCCCACTGACACACACATCCCTTTCCATTTACAGTTGGGTGCTGCCTAACAATGTTTTGGCCAATGACTGACCACATATAGAATGATGATCTCATAAGATTACAATACATATTTTTACTGTACTTGTTCTATATTTAGATACGTTTAGCTATAAAAGTACTTACCATTGTGTTACAATTGTCCACAGTATTTAGTACAGTAGTATGCTGTGCATGTTTCTGGCTTGGATCAATAGGATGTAGCACATAGCCTAGGTGTGTAGTAGGCTATACCATTGAATTGGTGTAAGTACACTCCGTGATGTTTGCAGAATGACAAAATCGTCTAATGATGCAGTTCTCAGAATGTATTCCATTGTTAAACACAAAACTGTACTTATTCTACTGTAATTGAAGAAGAAACTCATTGTGTCAAACTCAAAGTGGTTTTTGGCTAATTCATTCTCTCCATCTTCCTCTTTCATTTTAGCTGCCTTAGTAGATAGATGTTCGCGTGTCCCATATGTATGTGTTCTTATGATTCTCTTCATCACAATAAATGTTTTTCCTTATCTAGAAGAATAAGAAACATCGCTGAGTTATAATTCCAGTTTTGTACTAAGGACATGGCATCGATCAAGTCTATCTTTCCTGTAAGCCTTAGGTCTTCTCTGAACTGAGGTTACCGATTTATTGCAAAAACACACTGATATTAATTACCAAGCACTTGACATCAGGTGAAATTTAATATGAACGCTTTGGAAACAGAGCAAAGAGGGATTCATTCTTAAACATCATTATCTTTCTTGGGTACATTTCCATGTTTACTGGAACACTATAATGATGCCAGTTCCTGCGACGACTTTACAGAATAATGCTTTCCTCTGTTTTAGGCTGGCAACCCTTTTCAGGTGTCCTTCAACTATTCAATCATTTAATCCAGTTTTGCTTTTGTTTTCCCTTGATATCCAATAAAATTATTTTGATTGGTAAAAAAACATGTCTTTTTAAAATGCTTAAAATCTCTATTTGAGTTTAATTAAATATACATATAGCTGGTATATATCCTTACTTAGCTTTGTTTTTGGATTGAATATGAGAAAAGTGAGTCCATGAGTAAATGGCTCTTAATGTTCCAATTTAAGGTAGTGAATGAATGGGGAAGTACATAAGAAACGTGACACCTCTCTGGGTCTCTCTGTTACTCTTGCTCTTTCTTCTCCCCTTCGCTAGAATAAGATTTACGATACAAACTGCACTGAATAAGAAGTGTCCTTATATGGAAATAAGAATGAGCAAGAACCTTAAGGATAATTTAGTCCTTCATTTGATACATGAAATCTCAAATGACTAGCCCTAGTACACATAGATCCTAGACACTAAGAACTGGGGGGGGGGGGGGGGGAGAAAGAAAAAAAAACGAGGGACCCTTGATTCACATAGGTCAGAGTTTTTCCTGATGTGATACACATGATATACATCTTTTATTAAAGCCACATATATAATCAAAGAGGTAGAAGACAAAACATGTATAAGATTTCATATTTCTAACTTGATAAGTATTATGTTACTATCTCTAAGCATCCAATTTGCACCTTTCAAACATACAACATATGAATAAAATGTACTATTTTAGGTAAACTGATTTTTAAAAAAGAGTGTGCTAGTTTCAAAATAATTTTTTATTCTTACAGATTTTCAATTTACTAACGAAAATTGAGTTCGGAGTTATAGAGTTTAGTAGATAAACAATCTTATTACTGGTTTTGGTGGGATGGCTAGTTTATATAAGGATCAGGAAGAAAACTTACAGGAGGAAAAAATATGTACAGGATAATGAGATATAATATTCATGTGAACCATAAATGCACTTACCTGATTGGTTAAGTTGCAAAGCCATTATTACTTTCCTATGAACAAGACTGACTATATAAAAATATTATTTCACCCCGTTTCTACTAAAAAAAAAGTACAAAAATTAGTTGGGCGTTGTGGCGCATCCCTGTAGTCCCAGCTACTCAGGAGGTTGAGGCAGAAAATCGCTTGGACCCGGGAGGTGAAGGTTGCAGTGAGCTGAGATGGTGCCACTGCACTCCAGCCTGGGTGACAAAGTGAGACTCCATCATATATATATATGTGTGTGTGTGTGTGTGTATGTATATATATATATATGTATATATATGTGTATATATGTATGTGTATATATATATATACACCACAAATATTTAGTCATCTGACATCTATGATAAAAAAGATTTCTGAAAAACGATTTTTTTAAAAAATCTAGAAGTTATTCACTCAAATATAGATCTGCCAATTTATTTTAGGAAAGATATATATCACCTATTCTAATCTTAGAACATATTAAAAGGAAAACCCAGGAATCCTAACACTGGTGACCCACTTTGATATCCTATACAAAGAATCAGAGAGTTGTAGAAGTGGAAGAGGCCTTAGATATAACTTCCTCCAACTCCTTCGTTTTCCAGACTACAAATATGGGGTTCAGAAAGGTTAAGTGATTTGGCCATGGTCATAGAACTCATTAAAGGCAGAGCTGGTCTAGATTCTAAGATCTCGTTTCCTGACTGCTCTCTTTCTACCTAAGGCTGCTTTGAAAATGTTATACTTCTTCAAGATAGGAAAGAAGATGGTAGAAATGTAGAATATGACTTTGGTACTGCAAGTTTTATCTGATTTATTAAATAAAAGAACAACTACTAACCATTTTGAGAGCTGAAGTGGGAGAATATTATTTTAAAAAATATACCACAACTCAATAACAGATTATGTGGTTGCAAGAAGCCAATATGGTTATTTATTCTAACAAAAGTACTAAAATCGTATAGAATATTGCATAATTAGCAACTAGCCTGTTAGAGCAAGACAGCTGTGAAGTTGTTGGCTTTTACATTTAAGGGGACACAGTACAATGTCAGTGTTGACAGCAACATCTATGGTTTACCTGTAGCTTCTTTCTGTTGGAGCTATTTATTTTCATTCCATTGATCTGCAAAATTTGCCCTGTAGGCATTTACTTGGATTTTTAACTAGTATACCACCAATTTAGAAATGACTCCTCTAAATTGTAACTTCTTCTTTGAACATTCTATTCATCTGGTGTATTATTGGTATAATGACATTTGTCATCTTTCTAAAAGATACATAGATAGGAATGTAGAAGAATGTATTAACAATTCTTCCAACATAATTTAGGGAAAAGTACCATATAGAGACAAATTATTGTCATTAAGTGATGAATTAAAAAACAAACCCACATTACTTTTAATTTATTTTTTCTACAGTGTTGATACAGTGTTGATTTGTGGCTTCAGTTAAACATGAAAAGCACAATATGTATCGAGCCAGTAAAACATAAGTCTTAGAAATTTTGGCAATTGATTTACTAGTATGGAATTTTTTACCTAGAGGTCATATGGGGTTTTAACCAGTTTCCAAAAGCATTTAAGTTTAAAAATCTGTTTAACTTATGAATTTCATCTGAGAAAAGGTTGCAAGACATTAGAAATGTTATGTTAGAGAAGTAAATGGAAATCCTCATTCTGAAGGATACTCAAATATCCAAGACATAGTTGAGAATTCAGAAAAAAAAAAGAAAACATCTCTAAATGAAGTAGATGTCCTAAAATTGAGTGACTATAATTTATACAGTACTTCACTTATAGGAAACCACATAGACATTCAATCATAAATTCTGTATTTTTATAAGACCAATTTCCAATGAATTTGATTTGCCAATTGGTTGCTTAAATTATAATAGGTTAGAATTTAGGTAAGAAAGGAAGAGGTTGATAGAGGGTAGTCACAACAGGACAATAGAAGAAAGCGAAATAAATCTGAAAGGAAATTTGAAACCAAGCAAATAAATATTATAAATCAACAGAAATGGACATTCAGAGCAAAGGTACTTTCAGGTTACTTAACACAGGGACAAATGGCCTCCATATATCCTTTGAACAAAAATGTGGCACAGCATTCAGAATGGTAATAGCACTTTCCCTTTCTCTATTTAAATATGCTTTTGTCAAGTTGATAATGAAACTCTGATCTGACCAAGTGCACTAATGCTTAATTCTAGATTTTGTAGCACTCTATGTAAGTGACTATTCCAGTCATTAAAATGCCACAGTGTGGTGGAAGCAGCATCTCTAAGTTAAGTCTGGTTTTGAGTACCAGTTGTGTCACCTCAATAGCAGTGCCAACACTGATGTTTCTTAAATTTGCTGAGCTTATACTCCTTATTCATAAAATGGAGATTAAAAATAAGTGCCAAATAGGCTGGTTTTGGCAATCAAATTGTTTTATAAGGCACTCAGCATTCTGCTTGACACATATTAAATATTAGTTTTTTACTTATTATATGTCAAAGTTCTATTTGAGTCATTTTAAATTGAAACCATTTATCAAATACATGGCAGATTTTTTTTCTAAAATTATACATAGCATATAATTGTATTCACTATCATTATTATAGACATTCGTTTTGCTGTGTTTTAATATAGTGATATCAAAAGGAACCATTGAGGTATACAGTTTTATTTTATACTATACTGATTTACCCCAGACTAAAATGAATATTTTAAATTTGTGTATATACCTGTATGTACATATGTGTATGTGTCATATGTATGTGTGTAGTTACTTATTTTTTATTTATTTATTTTTTTTGAGACGGAGTCGCCCAGGCTGGAGTGTTAGTGGCATGATCTCGGCTTATTGCAAGCTCCACCTCCCAGGTTCACGTCATTCTCCTGCCTCAGCCTCCCGAGTAGCTGGGACTACAGGCGCCCGCCACCACGCCCGGCTGATGTTTTGTGTTTTTAGTAGAGACGGGGTTTCACCCTGTTAGCCAGGATGGTCTCGATCTCCTAACCTCATGATCCGCCCGATGTGTGTAGTTTTATAGAGTCCTTCAGTTTCTTCCCTAGCTGTTAGTCATCACCACATGGGTAATAGTGGATGTTTCTTCAATAATTTCTTCACCTATTTGGTTTCTTTCTATTCACTGAGAGTTAAGAAAACTAAATTTATTAGCGAGGGTATGATGGTTAATAATAAGTGTCAACTTGATTGGATTGAAGGATGCACAGTGTTGTTCCTGGGTGTGTCTGTGAGGGTGTTGCCAAAGGAGATTAACATTTGAGTCAGTGGACTGGGAAAGGCACCATCTAATCAGCTGTCAGTCCAGCCAGAATAAAGCAGGCAGAAAAATGTGAAAAGACTAGGCTGGCTTAGCTTCCCAGCCTACATCTTTCTCCCATGTTGGATGCTTCCTGCCCTGGAACATCAGACTCCAGGTTCTTCAGCTTTGGGGCTCAGACTGGCTTCCTTGCTCCTCAGCTTGTAGATGGCTTATTGTGGGACCTTGTGATCATGTGAGTTAATACTCCTTAATAAACTCCACTTTATATACATACACCTATCCTATTGGTTCTGTTTCTCTAGAGAATCCCGGTTAATACAGAAGGTCCTAAGTTTGTCTTTGTGCACATGTGCTGGGGAGTGGGGCAGTAAATGAGTCAGTATATAATTTTTTTAATCGTTTTTCTTATCTGTTTGTTTGAACTTGTGACATATATTTTAGCTATATGTATTTTGGCCACTTTTACTTTCTACCTGGGTTTCTGTGCTCTGTTCCTGATATAGTAATTTGATGGATTATTTTTATGTAGGTGAGGATTTACTATCAATGTTAGGCTTTGGTTGAATCTGTTTAAAGCCTACTTGAATTTATTGATTCAAATATTTTAAAAAGTAAACACAATGTATTTGATTTACTTGACAGTATTCATTAAAATAACTGGTTTGGCAGATGTATATACTTTACAGAATTTTTCTTCTTTACTCCTCAATTTTTTCCTGTTCCATTCAAGCGTAAAACAATTCTAGAATGTAACGTAGGTAGATTTTCCTGGGAAGATCTTCAACAAAACAAAACAAAAAAAATGCAGTTTTGTCTTGGTTCTCTGACCAAGTAAATTCCATTTATTCCAGAGATGGTTTCTTTCACACGGTTTGCTTCCTCTAAATGTCTCTATAAGTCATACTGCCACCTACTGGCACCCTCCAATATAGCAGCCATGTTTTGAGTCTCCAAAAAAGGTAAGCCTGCCTTTTAAACAAAAATCTCGGTGATTGATATTGTTGAAATTATACTCCAATTCTTTCTTTAATTATACATGATACACGGATAGGTATTAAATATAACTTATTTTTTCTTTTTTAAATTAATAAAACGGAGCCTCCAAACATTTGTAATTCCATTCTAGCATTGTTGAAGTGCTATTTTACATCTTTCCCCCATGCACTGCTGTATTCTTGCATCACAAAATAACCTTGTGTGTTGACAGGTAAGAAATTTCCTTTTCCTTCTGTGTGTTTGATGAAATTAAAATTTTGTGAAATACTGACCAAATTATAACATTTTAATTTTAGACGTAAAATGTAAGTAAGTGTCCTGAATTAGATTTAAAATCGTTTTTATTCATAATTCAGAAGTATCTGTTTTGAGTGACTTTTAAAAACAAACAAAAAGTCACATGCAAAAGGAATTTTCAGGCCAAGAAAAAGTACCTGTTATCTCAAATGATGAATTGTGGTAGTCTACTCTTCGAAATTATAAAATAAGTTCCTGGCCTAGTTTTAACAATGGCTGTAAAATTTAGATCATTTTGTAAATATCCAAATTCATTGGAGTTGTAAGCAGAGCTTTAAGCAAATTTACATCTTTTATTTGGAGTGCAAATACATTTACTGGCAACCTTTAATTATTATGGACTATGAAAGATTTTTCATGTCCAAAGTATCTTATTAAATGTAATTAATGGGTTGAAAAGTCTCCTCCCTTTTCCCAAAGACCTCAATGTACAGTAAGTGAAATTAAGTTATAAAATTGCACTTAGGAAATCAATGGATTGGAGGACAACCTCAGAGAAGTGACTTTAATCTCCTCCTCTCAGAGTTATTCAGAATTAAATAAATTGTAAGAACATAATGCATATAAACATTCAGCTTCCACCTTCATGTTTTAAGAAGGACCACTTTTGTAATATAATTTAAAATGAATTTTTCTCATTTCTTACCTGTAAGCTAATGTAATGGCTATATATATATATATATGTATATGTATTTTAATTTTTTTAGCACTAAGGTATTTTAAACACTCCCTTTTCTAGTTTCTAACTCCTCCTTTTTTCACAATATATTTTATTTTTTAATTTTTGCTCTTCTTTTCATTGTCAAACCAAGACAGCTTTCCCAAAAATTATGTAGCTTTCTTTAAGGAAGAAAAAAATATGTTTTTTTTTTGCTTTTTAATGAAATATACTGAATATGTAATGAATCAAATTGCAAAAAAACATATAAATATTTAAATTACTTTTTCTGAAATAATTCTTTTTCTGGTCTCTGCTTTTTCCTCAAATAAAAATAATACACAATTTTGTCCCCTGAATGAGGGTCCTATTCAATTATATCAGAAAAAATATATTGAAATTGAACAGCAGTGGTGTGTGCAATTTACTGTTAATAATCAAACACTGTTATTGAATACAATTCCATTTTAGGAATTTGATGGTATTGGGGCATTAAGTTATTTTATTTTTTTATGGATGAAATTACCACAGTCTCGAAGTTTATGAGTCAGTGAAGAAAGCTATGAAGCCTCTTCTTTAAAATCATTGTAACACAAAAATTTTATGGGCCCCCTCAAATCTACCCAACTTTGCTTGATAAATACTGTACATTTTAGAATGCAAGAGTGGCTTAAATAAATGGAAGATGTCAAAATGCACTGTTCCAAAACTATCCGTAAAGCATTTACTAAAGAAATTTCACCACCAAAAATAAAACATGGATTACAATAAACAAAAAATTCAGTTTCATTGTACATTCTACACATAAAAGGAATGCCCACTTTGCAAAGTAAATGATTCCTTTAATATCTATATGGATTAGACCTTTCAAACAACTCTATAATTTTAAAGACTAAGCAGGTACAACTGAACACTTAGGACAAGTATTAACTCATAGAATGACCCAGTGGATTGGTCAAATTTTACATATCATCCCATGATTCACATGCATGTTTCAAATACTTTTCCTTTTGAAGAAGTTAAATATGGCTTATGTAGATTTGTCAAGTTAATAAAAAAAAAACTTCCCATTTATACTCCTGGATTAGCTCTTGAATTTCACTTTTCTGTTTTCTTACTGCAGCATGGAAGGCACTTAACAGTAATACTAACAAAACAGCAAATAATTTTTAATTCCATGCAAGTGAAAGTCATAAACTTTGAAAATTTATCATGGGCATTTAATTATTCTGTTTCCATAAATTAGACTGTTTCCATAAATTAGAAAGAAATTCAGAGATACGAGAGAATATAAAACTGGAATTTTCTTCTCATATTACCTAGTAAGGCTGTGAAATGCAAACTAATGTCATTCTTTAAAACATTCTAATTATATCACCTAATAACAAAGTTTTTTTCTCCCTTGAAGATGAAAAAATACTTTTTAGGTAACCTGGGCACTGAGTAAAGTTATAAAGTGAAATCTCATTGTCTTGATGAAAACACTGTAACTTCTAAAGAACATTTTCAGTAGGACATTTTCAGAACAGGTGTCCTGTGACCTTCATTGGCCAAATTCTTCCCTGAGTTCTCAGGAACACCTGTCTGTTCTTCAAATTTATTGGGTGCTTCTGAGCATCTGAAAAAGCCACATCTGTCCTCTGCAACACTAATAGATTGCTCTGCTATTCCCCCTTAGTGTAATAATTTTCTTGAAAGCGAAAGTATGTTAAAATGAAGAAAAGTTTCAGTTTTTACTCAATCTCTAGCTTTTGACCCAGTTTACCAGTCACTTTCTGATTCTTTAAAGAATTTTTTCATCACTCAGTTGCCAAGATTCTACATCCTTTTATTGTCCCACCTACTTCCTTGACCTCTCCTTCTTAGTCTTTTCTGGCTTCACCTCTTCTTCCAATTTTCCAAATTTCTAGATCCCTGGAATTTTATCCTTAAATTTCAGCTCTTCATCTTTACTCCCTCCCTAGGTAACTGTTAGCTCTCATGACTGCAAATATCTTGTATCTACCAATAACTTCTCAATTTAAAAAATCTCCAGCTCCAAACCAATTCCCTGGACTCTCGACTCTTATTTCGAACTTCCTCTTCATCAACATTTCCTCTTAAACTTCTCACAGGTTTCTCAAATTTTAATAGGTCCAAAACCAAACTCTTAATTTTTCTCTGTAAATTTCTCCCCTCTCACTGATCCCCATTTCATGAAAGGATATCACCTTCTTGCTCAGGCCAAACATATTAAAATTGGCCTTGACTTTGATCTTCTTCTCATACCCAATGAGACCAGTTGATACAGTTAAGGATAGCTCTAATGTATGTAATATATATCCCAAGTCCTACCACTGCTACTATATCTACAATCTTTTCACTTTCAATATAATTTTCACTCCCTATCCAGAAAAATCCTTTCAAAACACAGGTCAGATCATGTTTATATCTTGTTTATAACCTTCCAATGGCCTCTTCGGATAATAAACAGAAGTTCCAAAGTTCTTGCCACAGTCTGCATGGCCTTGATTGTCTCTTCAATTTGATCTTCACTATTTTCCTTTTCACCTCCTCAAACAACTATCTTTGCTACTTCATTTACACATGTCAATAATATTTCTGGCTGAAGGCCCCTGAACTTTCTGGTCCCTGTGTCTAAAGAGTTTTCTCCTCAGATATGTGAATTACTTGCTTTCTCGTTTTATTCAAGTCTGTATTCAGCTGTAATCACAGGGTCCATTTTTGACCACCATATAGAAAATAGGTCCCTTATTTACTCTCTATATTCTGTTTTATCTTTATCATTACTAACTCTATTAGATTGCATGTTGTTGATGTATTTATTTCCATCTTTCTAAATATGAATGTGTCAAGGCCTTTATCCATACCATTCATCAACATTAGCTAAAACATGTGCCTGGCACATAGTAGGCACTCAATACATATTAGTCGAATGAATGAATCTTAACTATAATACATTTCCAAGTAGAGGTATACAAAAAAGTACATTGTTATAACAAGCATATATAGATAACCAATGTAACATATAGGTAGCCACATGTAACTTAACAATTATAGCAGTTCTCTGTAGTTTTGTCAATAAAAGTACCATTATTTTATCATTCTGAGAAATTTTATGTGAATAAGCAAGTAAAATTAGTCTTTCACTTTTCTCAGCCATTATAATTATTACATTATATAACTATCTATTCTCCTGCTTTCCTTGTTCTGACACTGATAACCTTAAAATCATGAGGACTAATCAATCTGAATTTTTTCCCTGATTTTGAAATTATTTTTTTAAAAGGTCTAATTGTGGGTAAAAGTTGCTGACAAATTTTTACCACTGACCACTTATAAGATGATTATTTTTAATGTTATTTTATCTATGTATTAGTTTTCTGGTCATGCCATTACAAAATACCACATAGAGGTTTAAATAACAGAAATTGATTTACACACAGTTCTGGAGGCTAGAAGTTCAAGCTCAAAGAGTCAGCACATTTGGTTTCTTCGGAGTCTTTCCTTAGCTTGCACATGGCTGCTTTCTCGCTGTGTCCTTATATGGGATTTTCTCTGTGTGTAAGCTCCCCTGATGTTTCTCTTTGTGTGTTCAAATTTCCACTTCTTATAAGGACACCAATCAGATTGGATCAAGGCACACTCTTACCAGTTTCACTTTAATGTGCTTACTTCTTTTAAAGGCCCTGTTTACAAGTACAGTCCCACTTAGGGTTAGGGTTTCAGCATATGAATTTGAAGAGATATAATGCATTCCATCACACTCTATAATCCAAATTCTGTAAGCACTGGAACTGATTTTGTGTTTTACTTCAGCTTTCTCTCTGTGTTCTAGAATGCAAATATCCTTTTAAGGGTAACATCCTATGCTAAACTCATTCAAAGGAATAAATATTTTCAGAGATTCCCATCAACAGTGCAAAAGAGCATTCCTATTTCTCCACAGCCTCACCAGCATCTATTGTTCCTTGACTTTTTAATAATCACCATTCTGACTGGCATGCGATGGTATCTCTTGGTGGTTTTGATTTGTATTTCTCTAATGATCAGTGAGGTTGAGTTTTTTTTCATATGTTTGGTGGCCACGTAATGTCTTCTTTTGAGAAGTGTCTGTTTATGTCCTTTGCCGACTTTTTAATGGTGTTTTTTTTTTTTCTTGTAAATTGGAACTAAGTTCCTTGTAGATTCTGGATATTCAACCTTTGTCGGATGAATAGACTGCAAACTTTTCTCCCATTCTGTAGGTTGTCTGTCCACTCTGATGATAGTTTCTTTTGCTGTGCAGAAGCTCTAGTTTAATTAGATCCCATTTGTCAAGTTTTGTGTTTGTTGCAATTGCTTTTGACATTTTTGTCATGAAATCTTTGCCTGTGCCGATGTCCTGAATGGTACTGTCTAGCTTTTCTTCTAGGGTTTTTATAGTTCTGGGTTTTACTTGTGGAAGACAGTGTAGCAATTCCTCAAAGACCTAGAACCAGAAATACCATTTGACCCAGCAATCCCATTACTGGGTATGTACCCAAAAGAATATAAATCATTCTATTATAAAGATACCTGCACATGTATGTTCACTGGAGCACTATTCACTGTAGAAAAGACATGGAATTAACCCAAATGCCCATCAATGATAGACTGGAAAATGAAAATGTGATATATTTACACCATGGAACACTATGCAGTCATAAAAAGTAATGAGATCATGTCCTTTGCAGGAAAAGGGATGGAGCTGGAAGCCATTATCCTCAGCAAACTAACACAGGAACAGAAAATTAAACACTACATGTTCTCACTTATAAGTGGAAGCTGAACAATGAGAACACATAAAAACAGAGAAAGGAACAACACATAATGGGGCCCGTTGGTTGGGGATGTGGTGGGAGGGAGCGCATCAGAAAGAGTAGCTAATGCATGCGGGGCTTAATACCTAGGTGATGGTTTGATAGGTGCAGCAAACCACCATGGAACACATTTACCCATATAACAAGGCTGCATATCCTGCCCATGTATCCCAGAACTAAAAATTAAATTAAATTAAAAAGAATATTTTCAGAGATCATGGGATCAATAAGTAGGTTAAATTATAGGGGATATACAAAATGGCAGTCAAAGCAGATTATGGAAATGAGGGCAGACAGGACAGATTTGGAGCTCTGAAATCACTTTCTCCTAAATTTTAATTTTTATCCTAGGTAAGTTCCATGCAGTTGAGAAAGTAGTTTCTCAAAGGATTAAGTGTTGGTTGTTAGGTTAATTTCATCGAAACCTAGTCCTAAATATATATATATATATATATATTTTTGAGACGGAGTCTCGCTCTGTTGTCCAGGCTGGAGTGCAGTGGCACAATCTTGGCTCACTGCACCCTCCGCCTCCTGGATTCAAGCAATTTTCCTGATGCAGTCTCCCAAATAGCTGGGATTACAGGCACGTGCCACCACACCTGGCTAATTTTTGTATTTTTAGTAGAGACAGGGTTTCACCATGTTGGCCAGGTTGATCTCAAACTCCTGACTTCAAGTGATCCACCCACCTTGGCCCCCCAAAGTGCTGGAATTACAGGCATGAGCCACTGTGGCTGGCCTAGTCCTAAATATTTTTGAACAAGTGAATAAATAAATAGATAACTTTAGGGTACTCTCTCAACATCTTTAGACTTTGTTCTTTCTCCTAATTCTCTTTTGTAATCTTTGATATGTAAGGTTTTAAAAATCTTTTTTGCTGATTATATGTATGTTTCTTATATTAATGTTAAAAGCAACATGATAGAGATGCAGCAATATTTGCATTTTTCAGATTAAAAAAATAAAGCTGAGATTTATAATGGTAAAGAGAATTGGCTATATTTGTGTAACCAAAAAAATTTAGACTCCTGATTCTAAGCAGGTCTGTCCTATACTTAAGGCTGTATTTTATCTAAATTATCTCTCTGGAGACTTCAGGTTTCCTACAGCTGAATGTTTATTGCTGTTGAGTATCAACGGTAGACAGAATTTTGGCTCTCTGACCTTTGCTCCCTGGTGTTACACCTGTGAATATGTTATATTACATGGCAAAATGACATTGCAGAGGTAATTAAGGTTAAGAATCAATTGAGTTTAAGATACAGAGATTAGCCTAGATTTCCCAGGTGGGCCAATGTAATTACAGGAGTCCTTAAATCAAAGTATTCTCCTTGGTGAGGACAGCAGAGGAAGTCAGGGAGATCTGAGCAGAGAAGGGCCCGATGCATTGTTGCTGGCTTGAAGATAAAGGAAGACATGCGGAAAGAATGTGGGCTCACTGGAGGAGCTGAGGGTGACTCCCAGCCACCAGCCAGCAAGAAGGGAGAACCTTAGTTCTGCAACTGCAAGGAGCTAAGTTCTACTAAAAACATCATTCAGCTTGGAAATTGTTTCGACATCAGATCTTACAGATAAGAGCCTAGTCAGTTGCTATTTTAATTTCTGGCTTGTGAGAAACCTGAGCAGAGAACTAAATTAAACCACACCAGAATTCTGACTGGTAGAACTGTGAGCTAATAAATTCATGTTGCAGTAATTTGCTGTTTGTGACGTTTTGTTATAGCAGCAATAGAAAACAACAGAGCACCTGAATTCTGTGTCCAGTTACTCAATAAAAGTTAACTTAGATAACTTCTGCTTACATGGTTTCTAGTTTTTCATGTGGTCAAAAAAAGAAACACTTCTCTATTTTTGTGGATAAATCTTCATGCTGATAGTTCATGAAATCTTTTTTCAAGTTAATTCATCCACTCTGTTATTAATTTAGCCATTTAATTATTCATTCAACAAATATTTATTAATGCCTAGCACATATAAAGACTGCATTAAATGCTGGCAATATAACATAAATTAGGAAATGCATGGTCCCTATTCATATACACAGATAGTCTAGTGGGGAATATAGAAATTAAATTAGTAATTTTACATAATGTAGTAGAGAGTTATAATATGGTCCCCATGAGTCAAGCCTCCTTGTGTCCATGTCCCAGAGCAATGTAATGTTTTTGTTCCTTCCAACAAAAAGTGGAGTCTGTTCCTCCACTCTCTTGAATTTGGGCTGGCCTTATAAATTGCTTTAATTAATAGAATGAGACAGAAGCTTAGTGTGTAAATTCTGGATCCTAGGTTTTAGACACCTTACAGTTTCTGTTTTTGCCAGTTGTAATAATGTCCTGAGACTACAACATAAGAAAACTTGTCTAACGTACTGGAGAATGAGAGGCCATCAATCAGCAAAAGCACCAACTGCCAGACATGTGAATAAAGCCATTTTCATCCTTCCAGTTGAGTGAACCCAGGAGAGAGCAGCTGATGTAATACCTGGCCAACCTACTGAATGTAAGCAGTAAAATGTATTTTTTTGTTTCTCTGTTTGAAGCCATTGAATCTGGGATGAGTTGATACACAGTGATGAATAAGTGATATCATAATCAATTAGATAATTAAAACTGGGTTATTTGTTGGAAAGGAAAAGTATTAAGATCTTATTCAAGGTCACCTAAGAGATAGTGAAGCTGAGTTCTGAAAGATGGGCAAGATGAAGAGTGTGAATGTTGGAGCTGGGAATGGGAATCGAGCAGGCAGTATATCATTAAAAGTAGAATAAATAGCATGAGCTGGAGTGGGGGTGCGGAGGCCCAAATTTAAGAAACTAAAAGAAGTGAAAAGAGGCCTATATGACTGTGGATTAGTTGCCAAGCAGGATAGTTGGAGAAATGAGGCCAGTGAAAATCTTACTCCACAAACATTTACTGAGTAAATTGTGAGGGGAGTCTTATTTGGTACAGCGAGAGAGATGTAAGTTAAACGGCATGGTCATGTCCCTAAAGAAGTACATTATAGTAGCACAGTGATAGGAGAAGGATAGATATGTTTTGACATAATATAATACAAACCTGAGTGAAATAAGTAGTTTGCCATAACTTCTAAGAGCTTTAATAGTATAGAAGACAGAAGCAATTTATCACATGACTATGAGACTGTCTCGGCTGTAGCCTTTTACTCCAGACTCAAGGGCCTAGCCACTGAGCCAACTACTCCTATGGTAGATATAGCCCCTAATTCTGCACAAAGAAACAACGATTTACATGATGTATAAGCTATTGTTGTTTTTGTCTAACCAAAAAATTTGTTAACCAGGAAAAAATAACCTAGGGTTATGGAAATCTTTTTAGAGTTACACAGTTCTAGGAATCTGAGCAATTACTCAGTTAAAATCTTTCATTTTATAAATGAGGAAGCATCCCAAAAAAGGTGAACTGATCTGCATAAGGTTTTCATGCTTGATGATGATGGCACTCAGGGTGCAAACCAGGTCACTTGAACTCTAGTTCTGTGCTTTTACTAAGACTTCATCTGTTGGTTATGTAGCTGCCTCAAACTTGAGAGGTACTTGGTCAGGTACAGATATGGTTTGGCTGTGTCTCCACCCAAATCTCATCTTGAATTGTAACTCCCACATACTCCATGTGTCATGGGAGGGACCTAGTGGGAGGCAACTGAATCATGAGGATGGGTTTTTCCCATGCTGTTCTTGTGATATAGTGAATAAGTCTCACGAGATCCAATGGTTTCTATAAAGGGTAGTTTCCCTGTACACGCTCTCCTGCCTGCTGCCACGTAAGATGTGCTTTTGCTCCTCCTTCACCTTCCGTCATGACTGTGAGGCCACCCCAGCCATGTGGAACCATGATTCCATTAAACCTCTTTTACTTCATAAATTACCCAGTCTTGGGTATTTCTTTATAGCAGTATGAAAATTCACTAATACAGTTACTTCTCACTAATCTTTAAAAGCAGGCTTGCCTTATTAAGCTTATATTTGAAAATGTCATTAAGACTTAAGTCACTCTTATGCCCAATTTTTGGCATGCAGTTAACAGTTAATAGGGTGGTTAACAATGAACTTTTTCTTGTGTATGTATATTCCTATTTCCTTTAAGCTCTCCTAACCAGACTGATTTAGGGGGAATTTGGAAATCCCATCACGTTCAGGTGATATGACTTTAGCTGTTGGAGGCCTCTTTGGCCAATGTTCAATATATTGAGACACCTTTTCTAAATGCTTTACATATGCCATTTAAAATTTATAACTCACAGGAAGAAAAAAAAGACACAAATATATTTTCAATGCCCAATTTTTTCTCAGTATCCTATGGAGTATTTTCTGTTTAGCTTCCACTAAACAGCAGATGTAGCTGAATAATATCAGATAGGAAAATAATCCATAACTACCACTGTTGGCATTTGGGCATTTTCCTGGGCCATTTTTCAATGGCAGAACTGGCCAGGCAGTGTTGACAAGGTTACATTTCAACTATAAAAAAACTATGTCAGCATCAGAATCACATTTTTATTTGTTGCTCTAAGTATGGACATTTATTGTCCTTCTTAGTTACTAAATCTTAGAGAGTTTTTATATCCTAAAAAGATCTTTGAAGGAGAAAGCTTTCTTGGTGTACTTCATACAAGGCTGTCAATTTTTTTCCGATTCTGTTCATGCAAAACATAATGCATGAAAGGATAAGAGAATCGAGATAAGGGAAAATGCCAGCAGAAAATTATCTCTTTCTACATATACTTGTACTTGCTGACTGTCAATAAGGATCTGTATTATATCTTTCCTTTGTCTACCTTGTTATGTCTAACATTCCAATGCAACAGAAATGGGATGAAGGATAGCCTGGCTTGAAGACCTTTTCAAAATTACAAAGTCCTGAAAGTCATCTCATTCAGACAGATAGATGTAGACAATACCCTGCTTTCAGTGAAATTGATGCATACAGCCCTGAATGCAAAAATGGATATTGAGCAACAAAGAAAGAAATGTGATATTTCACATTTGAAGCTTTCACATGGCTTTTGTGCTTTGTGGAAGTTCTGAATTCATTATAAAACATATTCTTTAAAAATCAACTCAGAGAGCTGCCAAGGGATAATTTAGGGCAGGGGAAAAAATGAAAACACTGTGGTTTAGAGTTTAAACAATACCTCATTTTCAAATAAAATGTCTGTAGTAAATTGCAGATTGAAAAGGAAAATGATTATATTCTGTGATTGAGCTTCTCAGGCCGCAGTGTTTTTGTGATAAGAAGGGGCATCCACATAAAACATAAATGAAGGCTGAAGGTGTATGTAATCATACAGTCTTCTATTTGAGGATGTTTTGTGTGTATTGGTTTGTGTGCGTGTATGTCTGTGTCTGTACCTATGTGTATGTATTTCAGAGGCAGCGTTTTAATTGCCTCTACAGCTTCCCTTATCAACCTATCTGGATCCAATTGTACTAACATTTTGCTCACCTTTCAACTTCTTTAATGTTTCTCCCTGGTTTGAAACAACATAAATTTGGCTTCCTCATCAAGAAGCTCATTTAGCTGCAGCTTGATTGCAAGTAATTTGCCCTAAGTAGCTCCATCTTTTAATTGTCTGTGCCTTTTTGCAATCTATAAACTGTTAACTTCAGGCAGGCCATTTTGTCTTACTATTTTTTCCTTAGAAAAGCATATCTAATATTCCCCATATCCTTTGGCTTTAGGCATTCCTCACCATATGAACAGAAGGGATAGGATTTTCATGTAGTTTTAATTGATTTAAAAAATAAATTCACAACCTTTTGATATCTGGAAAGAGGTAAATCAAATATGATCCACAAAAGTTAATGTTGTGTCTTTTGTTATTTTTAAGAGAAGAGATAAGAAGAAAAAGGGAACATTGGTTTCTGTGGCTACTAAAAACAATAGTAAGATAGTTCTCACAGAGATCAAAAACTGTAAAAGGAAGAGTTTTTTTCAATATGTTTAGATATTCCCCAGATTCTTGTTTTATTCTGAGAATAAGGAATATATCCTAAAGAAAAATATTCTGTCCTTTCTGAACTGGCATCATTTTCTCTAGTAAAGACATAAAATCTGACATCTTTGTATCCAGGTTTGCTCAAGTCCATGCATAAAATATCCTTTTCAGAAAAATCTCATTGAAACCCTATAAGATACTGTTTTCAAATTACTTCTTACAACTAATCTTTTACCTAATGTGTATCACAAATATGTTAGATTAGCTGTATATTCAGGGATGATCCATTTCAAACAAATAAACTATATATTTTTCTGATCTATACTTTTAATTATTCCAAAGCTAACTGATAAAACATATAATATCCTATCTTCCCCTAAATATGAAGAGCAATTAGGGTGTTTTCATTTACTTATCACACAATAAGTAAATTTTTGGTAAGTAACATATACTCTCATTTCTCTTTGCTCTTGAAACAAGTGAACATTTCTACTTCATCCTTACTTTTGAGGTCATAGATGGACATTTCAAATGTTTGAATTATGCAGTTTTGAAAAAAACAAAAATAATAAACAGAAGACATGTCACTAGTGTGAATCTTATTGCAGAAGATTAAGGATCTAGGAATTAGCATATTAGCATTTTACATACATCTAAAGTTAGGTAATTGAATAGCCATTAAATTAACCATTTCCTGCCACATTATGTATAAAAAGAAAAATGTAAATTGAAAGAAATATCACTGGTTAAAAAGTTTTTATCTATGTTAAGAGATTCAGTTGACCAAATCAGAGCAATTTGTTTCAGATGTATATTGTTAAAGATCAGCTAAGTCAGAATAAACCAGTTTACTTTAATTCTTTTGGTCCTAACCGGTAGGTAAAAAATCCTTGAGAGTTTCATTTCTTTTCCTTTTTTTTTTAGTCAGTCTCACTGTCTCCCAGGCTGGAGTGCAGTGGTGTGATCATAGCTCACTGCAGCCTTGACCTCCCAGCTGCAAGTGATCCTCTTACCTCAGCCTCCCGAGTAGATGGGACTGTAAGTGCGCTCCACGATGTCTGGTTAATTTTTTAAATTTTTTTTGTAGAGTTGGGGTCTCCCTATGTCACCCAGACTGATCTTGAACTCTTGGGCTGAACTGATTCTCCCTTCTTGGCCTCACAAAATGTTGGGATTACAGGAGTAAGTCACTGTGCCTGGCTGTTTCATTTTTCTAAGGAGTGTTTGAAACTGTTAGCTTGACAGTCTCTGAAACTCTAATAGCATCCTTTGTTACATCAGTCTTTTACTGGTCATTTCAGATTTTTAAAAATATGTAATTTGCTTTCCTAGTTACTGAAGTGATTACTGATTTCAAAACTACGTTGATTCAGACTTGAGTTCTGAGGTACCTTTTTATCCAAGCCAGGTCTTTTTCTCTGAACATATTGCTAATCTACCTTCTACAAATTAACTTTTTTTTCTTTGTAAATTTTGGCATTAAAAATGCAAAGTTGGGGAGAGGACCACCAAGTGGATTCCATATAGTATGCTCAAAGTTATGTAAATATGCTGAATGACAGTTGTAAAGCTGGTATAGAACTTTCCTATGCAAAGATATTAGATAAAAACTTGACAACCCTTCCTTACAGTTACAGGAATATGTGGTTCTGTCCTAGGATATTTGAGTCCTTGGAAACCCAGAAACTAAAAATAAATATTATGTCCTAACATTTAAGTACATGCTCCACAGCATAGAATAGAAAAAAAAAAAAATCTAACAGTTAGAAACAGACATCATCTTGTGAAAAAAATAGGCTAGAACTCTATTCATTTTTTTATCATTCAACAACTATTTACTGAGCTCCTACTATGTGCCAGGTCCAAGGGATACAGAGATGAACATAAAAGGCAGTATCTGAAGCTTCATGAGGCAAATATTTTAGTGTGAAAAACTAAAACCAATGACTAATTACGTGATGGTAGCTTTGTTTGGATGGTTGTAAGTGGATCTCTTTAGAAAGTTGAGTTAGAGTCAGTCTCTTCAGAAGAACAACATTTAAGTTGAGGTTTGAAGTATAAGAAAGAACCAGATAAATAAGATTACTTCCGACAAAGATCAAAGGTGTACACATTGCAGTTTAATTTTGCTCTACCTTTTATAGAATCATAGGAGCCACTGTTCAGTACCACTATAACTTGTCTTTACGCCATGATCCCTTTTATTTTACTTAATTTACAAGTTTTCTTAGCTTAATTTTTTTATTCACTTATCTACTTTTTCTCTTGCTGTTTTCTTATCTTTTCTATCCAAAAATCAAACAGTAGTAGAAATTGAGCATAGTGATAATATTTGGGTTTTCACATCTCCAAATCAATGCATAATTAAAACTGTTTGCTTTTTTATTCCTAATGCCCACAAATTGCAAATGTTAGTTCAATGAGACTAGAAACCAAATCTATTGTTTTCTTTGTGGCTCCTATTACCTGCATACAGGGATGCACAGATGTCACAAAACAAAACCCATAAAAGCTTATGCTCAGTGAATAAATGTGTAAATAAGCAAATAAACAGATTTAATAAACACCATAATTAAGAAACCATGCACCTAATTTGTGACCAGGTCACAAGAAACTTATGTGTAGAATCACTGTCACTTAAAAAATACTATTTTAAGTAAATAATTCATGTTTAGAACAGATACTAGCATTTGATTTCAAATTTTCACTTTTATCCACATAGATCATCCTTCTAATCTACTGGATAGATTGAAATACTGGCAAAATAAGTTCCTGGGAGTAACGAAGCATTTTACTGGTAAGACTCACAACACAGTTATTTTTGGATAAGCATCAGAAGTTTGGGGATATTGTCTGACTATTCAAACAACTTAGATAATAAGTGGCGAACATCGTAGATCTTGTTTCTTATCAACTCTGCCCCAAATTAAAATACCAAGAATGCAATAATATTTTCCTCTGAGTCATGTATTTTTCCATTAGTTTAAGAGTCTTTTTTAGTAATATTTTTTTAATTCTGCAGCTCATGGTGGCCAGTGAAAAAGAGTCTGTGAGTCTGCACTTGATTATTAGTCTCACTTACTGTGTACAACAGCAAGGATCCTGTTTTCTTGAAAATATTTGAGACAGCCTCATGGTGAGCTGTAAAGTTATTAATGTTGCTTGATATTTGCTTTGACAGCTGCTCTGTACTCTCTTTAATCATCTTCATCGTGGTCTATAGCTCTTTTTTCCTTCCATTTCACTTTTGCCTGTGCTGCTTAGAGAGGAAGATGCATGCAGAAAAACTGATAGATCCCCCTCCCCTCACATTTTCCCAGATCTTTCTATTCTACAAGTTTAAATTCATTCCATCATTCAGACATTTATTTATTCAGTAAGTATGTATTTGACTTCTGTCATATTCAAGACCTTAGATGAGGTTCTGGGGATATAGAGATTAGCAACAGGTAATTTATGCTTTTAATAAATTTATCTTTTAATAGGCCAGCTAAGATAGCATCATGACAAGGTAGTTGCCTGTGACAAGACCCATAACACAGAGACTTAAAAATGTGGGCTTAGAGTCAAGTAGATACAGATTTGGATCTTGATTTCTCTACTTACTAGCTAAGTGACAGTATACGGGCTATTAAGCTCCTAAATACCTACTCCCAGATATCCTCAAACTTTAATTGTCTTATCTGTAAAATGGGAGTAATATTGTACCTTCTTCATGAGGATTCAATAAATATAAGGCCTAAGTCACAATGACACTTTCATGAGGTAAATATTTCCCTTTTCCTTACGCCCCTTAGTCATCATTTTATAGAACAAACAACTTAGACGAGAAATTCAGTCATTTGTTCAGTCACTCAGCTAGGAATGAGCGAGCAAAATTAAAAACACAGATTAGCTTGCCAACAGACTATAGGCTTTGTAAGGAGAAATGGCACTTCAGTTTAACTCATGCTACATTCGCGTGCACAGGGTAGTTAGTCCCTGGCGTCTACTAGGTTGTTGAACGAATTTCTCCACATTCATGTTTCTTCAGCAACCCATGCTGATTCTTGGTAGGGATTAAACCTAATGACAAGTAAAAGACTCTGCGATTTGTATATTAAGTAGTAGAGACTTTGAGTAGGGATGTAGAAACTTAACTGTGTTGTTCATAACATATTTGAAAGGAAAGAGACTGGCTGGGAAAAGCAATATGGAAGATTTCTCAATGTATACAGAAGACAGAAAATGAAGCTTTGGAGTAGGAGAGAGTAATGGAGATGAATAGGATTGATTAGATGGGGGGATGGAGGTGGTGATAATGTTCTTTTTCCTGATGGCTGATAGAATAATAATATTGTTAAAAGAACGTGTACTCTTTTAAAACAACAACAACAATAATAAGCAAGCAGTGCAGGCAGGAGAAAGAAGCAAAGAATTTTTGTGGAACTGAAAGTAAAAAATTTTGCCTTTTAACGTGTTGACTTTTTAATATCTACACATATTTGGGAAGAAGTTGGAAATAAAGTACTGGAGCTCAGGAGAATGGTAAGGTTGTAGATGCAAATTTGAATGTTTCCAGTATAGAGGTGTTATTTGTAAATTTATAAAATTACTAATGGAGTTTACCTCTTTCCTGTACAGGCTAATTATTTATTTCTTTAGGTTAAGTCATATCTCAAAAGAGATATAATTTCATGAAAGTCTTGGCTGAACATTTTTCCTTGGTTAAAAAATAGATGTAATATTTAAGTATGTTTATGAAATTCAAAAACATTTCATTTACTTGTAAGCACTAAAAATCAAGGCTGAATCTCTCATTTAAACAAATAATTAACTCTGGAAATAATAGTTTCAACATTCTAATAAATGGACTTACAAATTATGCTTTTCTGATGTGGACTTTAGTTTGCATTGTCTTAAAAGTTCAACAAAACACACAAACAAAGGTGGGAATGTTGAACACTTTGATTTTGCTATTATAAAAAAAAAGGCTGGTCTCTAAGTATCACAAATCAAAGGACAAGGGTTCACGCTCCTTTACATTGCCAGAATTTTCTCTTTCTATAAGAATATGCTAATTTTTAAAGGAAAATTCCTTTTAGCCTGCTCCAGTCTTTGCTCTTTCACAATGTTGCTGGTAAAGGGAATAAACATCTCTACTAAGACATAGCATTTGCATCTTAGAGAACAGATGTGTTGCTGTTTGCATAGCTTCCAGGGGTTCTGCCAACTAGTGGGCCTTATTATGGAAAATAACACTGGAAGCTCTTTAAAATACTATTGCTGGGGGTCGGTTGGGCTTAAAGCTGCTGCACCGTGTACAACAGGATTTTACTGTGTGTAGTTATATTTTAGGAATGATAATTATCTCTGAAACTTAATAGAATCTATTAAGCTGAGCCATGTTCAAACTGAATTAAAGGGAAGCTTTAGATCTAATTGAGATTTCTAGAGATAATTTTCAGGTGTTGAAATGAATAATTACAAAAATAAATATATCTTTGCACTCTTCATTATGATAGTAGCAGATACATAAAAAATTATAGATTCCAGTAATGGTTATGGAGAAATATATTATTTATAGAAAAGTAATATGGAAAGATAACATTCTCAGTAATTATAACCCCAATTCCTATATTATATTGTCATTAAACATTTATTTTAAAATTATGGGCTTAAAAATATTTTCCTTATTTTTAGTAAATTACCTAAAAGTACCAAAAAGCAAAAAGTCTAGTATCTTACGTAAAGTTCATAGGGACTGCTTAGAAGACATAATTCACAACATCTCACAAGAAATCAAGGATTATCATGATGTAATGCCTCTGGCAAATTACTCCAAAGCACAAATACAGGCTAATCCTGAACATGTGGCAACAGGTTCTGTTGTATTGGTCTGGCGTGTGTGAGACTTTGCAGTTCTCACTGATAACACCGTGCATTATCTTGCCTAGTGTTTTTCTAATTAATTTTCATTATGCTACTTAGTGACTGATTAATCTGAATAAAAGGTGAGATATCCATGGATTATTTTAACTTTGACAGGCTGACAGATTGGACTGGAGATGCTAGTTGGCTATTTCACAGTATGGAGGGAGCCAGAATGACCTTAGATTCTGCACATTGTCCAGATCCCCTTATTTTCCATTAGAAATGTCTCATTTGGACAGCATGCTGGATCTGCCCCAGTGTTTCATTCATCTTTCAACCTTCTTGAAAGTTATGCTCTTTATGTCCATGAGGGATACATATTAAAGGACTATTCTATGATTAATAGTTGCATGGCTATTATATGGGCTACTAAGTTACATAAGAACAAAGAAACACTCCTTTTTTTTCATTACCTTCTCTACTTCCAACACATTCTACCAAACTAATGTTGATGAAGAGTCAAACTCTGTAAAATATGTGAAGAGATTTATTCTGAGCCAAATAGGAGTGACCATGGCCCATGACACAGCCCTCAGGAGGTCCTGAGAACATGTGCCTAAGGTGGTCGGGGTGCAGCTTGGTTTTATACATTTTAGGGAGGCATGAGACATCAATCAAATACATTTGAGAAATACATTGGTTTGATCCAGAAAGTCAGGACAATTAGAAGCAGGGTGGAGTGGGGAGGGTGCTTCCAAGCTGTAAGTAAATTTAAACATTTTCTGGTTGACAATTGGTTGAGTTTGTCTAAAGACTGGGGATCAATAGAAGGGAAATGTTCAGGTTAAGACAAAAAGATTGTGAAGCCCAAGGTTCTTTGAAGTCTCATAGTGGCTGCAGATGTTTCCTATTCAGAATTTTAAAAGGCACTAGACTCTCAGGTAATCTCTTCAGGATTGGGAGGGCCTGGAAGAAAAAGATCTAGCTATCTTAATAGAGATTCTTTAGAGAAGCAAATTTCTCCCCACAAAGGATGGCTTTGACAGGCCATTTCAAAATATGGCAAAGAAACATGTTTTGAGGTAAAATATTTTGGAATTCTTCTTTGTCACATAATGTTTTGCCAGAGTCAAATTGGAAAGTAAGTCACAATATATAGGGTTAAATAAAACCCATCTGGTTAGAATTTATGGTTTATGGGGCATGATTCCCCAGACCACTTAGATAGGAGTTTGAGCAAGGTAAGAAAAAAGCAGAGCTTAGTCCTCATTAACTATGTTTTATGATCTAGATTTATTCATTAATAAAAGTGCATAGCAAAACAATTTTTGCACTCAATCAATATACAATTTGTTAGTACTAGTAACATCACTTCTACTACTGTGGACCAAGAAAATAATGACATCTTTCTGCCCTTCAAATCTCCCTGGTAGTCACTGGGAGAAAACCAGTGGATTTGCACTTAATTGGAACCCTCTCTTCTTTACACCACTCTCTCTCCTACCTTCATTCCTATAAAGAAACTTATTTGTGGATGGAATTGCTTAATATTTCTGGTGCAGTTAGCATTCTGCTAGTACAGTCATGACTAAAACAACAATATGACAAACACTGACAGTGACAGCTGCCCCCGTATAATTTTCAATTAAAGATTATGAGGACAAACTCTTGCCATGATAATTAGATTGATGAATGTCATCAGGAAGAACAAAATGAGAAAGGAAGGTAAGTCAAAATTATTTGGAAAAGAAATTAAAGAATGCTTGTGTAGCAGGACAAGCTGCAGACAAAACCCCTCAGACACGAGTTAAAGAAGGAAGGGCTTTATCTGGCCACGAGCTTTGGCAAGACTCACGTCTTCAACAACCAAGCTCCCCCAGTGAGCAATTCCTGTCCCTTTTAAGGGCTCACAACTCTAAGGGGGTCCGCTTGGGATGGTCGTGATCGATTGAGCAAGCAGCGGGTATGTGACTGGGGGCTGCATGCACGAGTAATTAGAACAGAACAGAACAGGACAGGGATCTTCACAGTGCTTTTCTTATACAAATAACTGATTAGGTCAGGGGTCGATCTTTAACTACCAGGCCCAGGGTGTGGCGTCGGGCTGTCTGCTTGTGGATTTCATTTCTGCCTTTTAGTTTTTACTTCTTCTTTCTTTGGAGGCAGAAATTGGGCATAAGACAATATGAGGGGTGGTCCCCTCCCTTACTTGAAGTACTGAAAAAGGAAACACCACCCCCACCCCTGGATTTATTATTATTATTAACATATTTTTTAAAGAAATGTATTTTCTTTTCTGCCACCTAGTTTTGAGAAACCTAGACATAATAAGAATTTGCATGAGAGGTTCTAGAAGTAAATAATTAAATGAAAAATATCTTTGTAAGAGGTAAGCTTTTTAGATGATCTTCATTTGGGATGAGAAAGACCTGTGTTTAGCTTCGAACTCACATGTTTGTTATTAAAAACAGGTGTTTAGAATGGTTTACTAGAATGATTGCATTTCGTTAGATCCTAAGATATTCTATATGTCTTGCAAACACATTTTTGGGGTTCCTTTCTGAAATCATCTTTCCACAATGTTCTGCCCATATTCTTTTCAACCAATACATTCCAATTTATAAAATGTTAACTAGCATACTAAATTATTGCGGAATTATCTGTGCCCACAACCTAAGACAGGATTTGTACCGTATACTCCATTGAGTTCAATTTGGCATATACATCTGCAGGTATCACCCTAATGCTTATAGTTGTAGCCCTGTTTCTCACCCCAAAAACGAAAACAGCAGGAAATGTAGACATTTGGAATAATGATGTCATGTATGGCCAGAAACTTACCATTAAATTGTACTATGATCTGTGAAAGACAACTAATGTTTTTCCCTGTGTTTTGATAGAGTGCCTTTATTACATTAGTAAATTTGTCCTGATCCAGTTTCATGTTTTCTGATTTAGAATTGTGATGCTTTGGCATACTGAACGTGGGCTACTTTCGGGGATAGATATGTATTCACTAAAGTCACAGAGACTGATGTATAAAATCAAAATGCCAATGACTTGTTTTACAATAAGAACTAAAACCATCATGAAGATTATAGTAATTTTATCAGTGTAACCACATCTTTCCCTGAAAGCAGATCATATAAGAAAGCAAATTATATTCAGAAATTTGCTTGGTGTTCACAGTATAAAGCCACAGGCCTTGAATACCATTAGTTCTTAATTCTAGTCTTAAGAAAACATTCAATTGTTTAAGAATACACTCGCGCTGGATCAAAAGCATGTTTGGATGGGGGCTGCCAATGGTTTCACAAGTGTTTTGTTATCCTTTGTTTCCAAGACTGAGGCCCTCCTACTAATTGACATATTATTTCTTTGATATGCTAATATATCAATAAAGTTATAGGTTGTCTTAAAGGTTTTAGGGCCATATTTTTCTTTTTGAGATGACTTTAGTGATCTATTTTTCTAATCCAGAGTGTATTGAAATACCTTTTAACTAAGAAAGTAGTCTCCTTATTTCCAAGTTCTTAGGTATATGTTTATGGTAACTCATAGTTAAATCCCAAACCAAAAACAAATATTTAGATAAATTTATAAATCTATCTACTTAATAAGGGATGGTGCTAATTTGCTTATGACCATCTCTTCAGTGCCAACTTCAATATTTGGCTTACAGTAGGCAATGAATTAAAATTTGTTGAATGTATTCATGTTAATGTTAATTTTATTAGGTAGATACTAAAAGCACAAATTTCTTGTATCCCTCATTATTAATTGGTACCTAAGGTACAAGAATATTCAAATGTATAAAGAAAAAAACAGACCCTCTTATAAATGTAGTGTAATACAAATCTCATAATGTTTTGCCGTGTGTCATATTGGCCTAGAAGTATTTGACTTCCTGTCACTATGAACAAAGGATTAGAATTAGTATCAATTTGTTATTGGTATTAACTCACTTCTCTGAAGTTATTCTTGAAATTAGTTGTCTTTAATTTCTTTAAGTTAATTATATTTATTTAATGTGGCTCATCCAAATTTAAGCTTCTTGAATGTAAGAAGGATGCTTTATTGTTAAAAATTTTTGGAACTGCATTTTGCCAAAGTTCCAAATGCAGTGCTGGAGATACAGGTATTGCCAATAATAGCTTCTTATTTGACTAAATCTATTTCTAAATTACAATTTGTTTAGTGTATTCTAAAATGTGATTTTTTTCATCAAAAGAGTAGCTGGTTCTGCACCTTATTTTAAGGAAATTATATGACCCAATATCAGAGCACAAACCATACTAAGACAATGAGAGAGATGTTCCTTCTTTTTATAGTTTGATTTGAATTCAACATGGCCAGAGTCTATTCCATTAACTTCACAGTATCCCTTATATTGAAAAGCCATTCGTGACATTTATGTACATTTGTATATGGAATTTTGTATGTGTTATGTATTTTTGATAATGCATTCAAATTTCCTTCTTCTCTGTACCTCTTCCTTCTACTACAAATAAAAAGGATGAATAAAAATAAATAAAAATGTTATAAATAGTCTAATATTTCACAAAGGCAATGGGAGAAGGCTGCTATGACAGATGAGTAAAAAATATCTAAACCTCTTTAATCAAAGAGTACATTTGTCCTTCTTAACCATTTTTTAAATTTAAAGATTTATTTAGTATTTAAAATTCTTACCTAGTCAATCAGTTTTCTTTTGAGAGAATCTTAAATCAAAAGGTCTGTATAAAGTGCTTCAATACCCAGATGACAAGTCTGGGTCTTAATTGATCATCTTCACAAACATTAATGACATTTTCTACTGGATAAGTATGATTTCCTTGAATGTCTGGATCCATGTATATGAAACATGTTCTAGATTATCTTTAATGTCATGAGAATATACTCTCTTACTCTGAAATAAGTGTGTATTTTTAAGTAAAGGCTCTCCATAGGCTATGCTATTTGCTATTAATAGTTGTGTTTTGGCTATTACTAAAAAGCCAAAAGATAACAGATGCTGGCAAGATTGTGAAGAAAAGGGAATGCTTAGACACTGTTGGTGGGAGGGTAAATTAGTTCAACCATTGCAGAAGACAGCATGACAATTCCTCAAAGACCTACAATCAGAAATACCATTTGACCCAGCAATCCCATTACTGGGTATATATCCAAGATAATATATATTTTCTTTTTCTTTTTTTCTTTTTTTTTTTTTTTTGAGATGGAGTCTCATTCTGTTACCAGACTGAAGTGCAGTGGTGCGATCTCAGCTCACTACAACCTCTGCCTCCTGGGTTCCAGAGATTCTCCTGCCTCAGCCTCCTGAGTAGCTGGGACTACAAGTGCACCACCATGTCTGGCTAATTTTTGTATTGTTTTTAGTACAGATGGGGTTTCACCATATAGATCAGGCTGGTCTCAAACTCCTGACCTTGTGATCCGCCCACCTCAGCCTCCCAAAGTGCTGGAATTACAGACATGAACCACCGTGCCTGGCCTGAGAATATAAATTGTTCTATTAAAAAGACACATGCATGCCTATGTCACTGCAGCACTATTCACAATAGTAAAGACATAGAATCAACCTAAGTGCCCATCAGTGATAGACTGGATAAATGGTACATACACACCACAGAATGCTATGCAGCCATGAAAAAGAATGAGATCATGTCCTTTGCAGGAACATGGATGGAGCTAAAGGCCATTTGCAAACTAACACAGGAACAGAAAATCAAATACTGCATAGTCTCACTTACAAGTGGGAGCTAACTGATTAGAACACATGGACACATAGAAGGGAACAACGACTCTAAGGCCTATCTGAAGTTGAAGGATGGAAGGTGGGAGAGGATCAGGACAAACAGCTAATGGGTACTAGGCTTAATATCTGGGTGACAAAATAATCTGTACAACAAACCCCCATGACACAAGTTTACCTATATAACAAACCTGCCTCTGTACCCCAAACTTAAAATGAAAAAGAATAAGTTATATTTTGCTACTGATTGTAAGTGGAATTTCAGAGAACATGATGTTAACATTGTATAAGATTTAGATACCTTCTGTCTCAGTCTGTTTGTGCTGCTATAACATAATAGTGGTGACTGGGTAATAATTTATAAATAATAGAAATTTCTTTCTTAAGTTTCTGGAGGCTTGGAAGTACCATATTAAAGTGTCAACATTTGATGTCTTGTGAGGGCCTTCTTGCTGCATCCTCACATGACAAAAGCAGCAAGCACTGTGTCCTCACGTGGTGGAAGAGCAGAAAAGCAAAAAGGGCCTAGCTAGTTTTCTCCAACCCTTTTATATGGCACTAACCCATTCATGAGGGTTCTTAGTCACTTCTGAAAGGCCCTGCCTCTTAATATCACCATAATAAGAATTAAGTTTCAACGTATGAATTTTGGGAGATATTCATTGCACCTTCTTTGCTGCAATTTCTGCCATTTGCAGTCCAGGTGTTATTATAATTCCTTATGATGAAGTTCTGGAAAATTCTTCTAGTTTCTCAGACGAAAGTGTTGGAATATGCATGCTGTCTTCTTATTTTTTTTCTTGATAATTCATTCTACTATTTTTGACTGATATTACTTTATTGGTTCTTTTAATCATGTACTCATTTCTATTTCCTTTTGAATAGTTTAATAAAATGAAGCCACCTAGGACTAGATATTAAAAACCAAAGTCAGCACTAGAATAAAATTAGAAGATGTAGGGTGTGAATGAGGACATACTTGTATCTCTAATAAAAATTTTTGACCTCTAGGTTAATTATGTAACATATCTCAATTGTTATAAAGATACAAGGTCAGAGTTGAGTATTTTTTTTAATAGTCTAGAAGAAGACATTAAACTAGGGTTGGTATTAGAAAAGGGTGAGTATATTTTAATCAAAAATGCCAAATTACATACACATATATATAATTATATACATGTACATATATGTGTGTGTATACATATGTGTGTATATGTATATATATGGAAAGAGAGAGACATGAAGAGTTTGTGTTTTTTGCTATAGTATATCTTTGTGATTTAGTCAGAATATATAAGAAGGTCATTCAAACTGAGCTTCAGTGGTAATATAAATGAGAAAATCTGAGTTCCTGAAAGTAAGTAGAATGAAGCTTTGTGTTTTAAGAATTTTAGGGGAATTTTAATGTAGTTTGTTAAGAAGATTATGTTTTTCTAACATTTCACTTGTGAAATCCAATCAGAAATTGAGGCCTAAAGTCTATATAGATCCTTAGAATAAGATTTTTGGCAGCTGATTGTTCTCTGAAAGCAGGAATTCATGTGTGCTATCTGTGTTATTCTAAATTCACTTGCATTTATTTTTCTCTAATGGTTGTATGTGCAGCATGTAGTGACTCTGTGGTAATCGCCCTTTTCCATAACTCTTGTTTCTTCACGGTTGGAGGGGATTTAACTACCTATCAGTAGTGATTTTGATGTTTCCTCAAGAACAAAAATGGTCTCATTAGAAATCTAGAATCCAAGGAAAATTTTATAACTTATTTGGATCAGAGAGTTGTCTGTGATGAGAGAAGATATAAACAGATAATTTGTCCATTATTTTCCTAATTGGCTTGGATCCAAATGATTCCTCAGACAAACATGGGTCATGCCCAGGACAGTTTAATTTCCTTTTTAATTTCAGCCCAAAAAATATGAAAAGCTGTAGAGATAAATATTTTCATAGAAGTATATGTCATAAAATTATACATGTGTGTATTTCACATTAAAAGTAATGCACAGACTGAAACCTTTTTGTAAATTTAACAAATTCTGATTAAAAATACAGTTTTTATCAAGAGCATAATTTCCTAATAATCAGTTCACACAAACGAAAATCAAGGAAGCAGATTTTAAACTTAACTACTAATAATCAATTTTAGAAGAATGCACTTAAGGTGAAAATTAATGATTAAGATGTAGATAATAAATAATACTTTAATTACATTCTGATTCTTGTATATAAAGATTGCTAGTAGTTTTCATCTTTTTCTCCTCCTCCTTTTCCTCTTTCTCCTTTTATCAAGTCCTATTACATAAGACTACAACTGTAAAAGGGATATTTGGGAGGCCGAGGCGGGTGGATCACGAGGTCCGGAAATCGAGATCCTCCTGGACAACATGGTGAAACCCCTTCTCTACTAAAAATACAAAATTAGTTGGGCGTGGTGGCACGTGCCTGTAATCCCAGCTACTTGGGAGGCTGAGGCAGGAGAATCGCTTGAACCAGTGAGTCGGAGGTTGCAGTGAGCTGAGATCCTGCCACTGCACTCCAGTCTGGCTACAGAGTGGGAAAAAAAAAAAAAAAAGAAAAAGAAAGAAAGAAAGAAAAGAAAACTCAATAATAAAGATGTGTTGCATCTTATCATGGAATTTATTCTAAATCCCACTAATATATTGTATTTTTATTTTGAATTAAATAAAATACACATTCAAAAAAATAATGGCCCAATGTATTAGACAAGTTTTCACAAATTGTATTAATAATGTCAATGCCATGTGTTTGACTCTACTTTAATCAGTTAACTTCACTGTTTTCTCTATCAGAGTCTCCACACATAATTTGATTCCATGTTTTAGAAATTTTACTTATAAAATGATCAACTGATGTATTTCTAAGAAAGAAAAATTAGTAATCTTCCTTGATAATAAGAAGCACCGTCTTTGTTCAAAATAACAAAAAATATTAACAAAAATTTACTTTAGGACATGTGGATGTATACTTTAAACATGATATCAGATTAGCTTTCAGACAACTGTGTGCTATAATTTCTACTTTAAATAATTCAATTTAGGTAGAGCACTAACAGTACCTACACTAAATAATTCAATTTATACAGATTATTTTTTCACCCTGGTGTTGAGCCTAGTACCCATTAGTTATTTTACCTGATCCTCTCCCTCCCAACCCTCCACCCTCAAATAGGCCTCAGTGTCTGTTGTTCCCCTCTTTGCGTCCATGAGTTCTCATCAGTTATCTCCCACTTATAAGTGAGAATGTGTGGTATTTGGTTTTCTGTTCCTTTTTTAGTTCGCTAAGGATAATGGATGTAGACAGATATTTGTCCATTATTTTCCTAATTGGCTTGGATCCAAATGGCTCTTCAGACAAATATGTTATGTCCGAGACAGTTTAATTTCTTTTTGAATTTCAGAACAGAAATATGTGAAAAGCTGTAGAGGTATATATATTTTTATAGATGTATGTAAATCATAAAATTATACATGTGTGTCCATCCATGTTCCTGCAAAGGACATGATTTATTCTTTTTTTTCTGGCTGTAAAGTATTCCATAATGTATATGTACCACATTTTCTTTATCCAGACTACCACTGATGGGGATTTAGGTTGATTCCATATTTTTGCTATTGTGACTAGTGCTGCAGTGAACATATGCATGCATGTGTCTTTATAATAGAACAATTTATATTCCTTTGGGTATATAACCAGTAATGGGATTGCTGAAGCCAATAGTATTTCTGGTTCTGGGTCTTTGAGAAATTGCCACAGTGTCTTCCACAGTGGTTGAACAAATTTACATTCTCACCAACAGTGTATAAGTGTTCCTTTTTCTTCACAACTTTGCCAGCATCTGTTAATTTTTGACTTTTTAAAAATAGCCATTCTGACTGGTGTAAGATGGTATCTCATTGTGGTTTTGATTTGACTTTCTCTAATGATTAGTGATGTTGTGCATTTTTTTTCCACACATGTTGGCCACATGTATGTCTTCTTTTGAAAAGTATCTGTTCATGTCCTCTGCTCACTTTTTAATGGGGTTGTTTGTTTTTTTACTTGTAAATTAAGTTCCTTATAGATTCTGGATATTAGACTTTTGTCAGATGCATAGATTGCAAATATTTTCTCCCATTCTGTAGGTTGTCTGTTCACTCTGTTGATAGTTTCTTTTGCTGTGCAGAAGCTTTTTAGTTTAATTAGGTCCCATGTGTCAGTTTTTGTCTTTGTTGTAATTGCTTTTGACATTTTCTGCCAGGGCCTATGTCTAGAATGGTATTTCCTAGGTTATCCTTCAGGGCTTCATAGCTTTAGGTTTTACATTTAAGTTATTAATCCATCTTGAGTTGATTTTTGTATGTGGTGTAAAGAAGAGGTCCAGTTTCAATTTTCTGCATGTGGCTAGCCAGTTATCCCAACTTGCTTGTATTTGGATAACTAGTTGGTAACGTGAAGAGGTATTATTATGCCATCATTTTATTTCTAATACTTGAAGCCTTTTCAAAGAAACATGCAGAACTCATACCTGTAATTGCATTCTTATGTCTTTTTGCATAGTTCTGGAGTAAGGGTAAATTTCTACATATGGACTTACTTTTTTGCAAATATTCTCTCCCATTCTGCAGGATGTTTGTTCACTCTGTTGATAGTTTCCTCTGATGTCCAGAAGCTCTTTAGTTGAATCAGATCCCATTTGTCAGTTTTTGCTTTGTTGCAATTGCTTTTGGTGTCTTTGTCATGAAATCTTTGTGTTTTCTTATGTCCAGAATGGTATTGCCTAGGTTGTCTTCCAGGGTTTTTATAGTTTTGGGTTTTATATTTAAGTCTTTAACTCACTTTGAGTTAATTTTTGTATATGGTGTAAGGAAGGGGTCAAGTTTCATTCTTCTGCATATAGCTAGCCAATTATCCCAGCACCATTTATTGAATAGGGAGTCCTTTCCCCAGTGATGTTTTTGTCAGCTTGTTTAAGGATCAGAGAGTTGTAGGTGTGTAGCCTTATTTCTGGGTTCTCTATTCTGTTCCATTGGTCTCTATGTCTATTTTTGTGCCAATACCATACTGTTTTGGTGTCTGTAGCCTTGTAGCATACTTTGAAGTTGAGTAGATGATGCCTCCAGCCTTGTTCTTTTTGTTTAGGATTGCCTTGGTTATTTGGACACTTTTTTGGTTCATATGGATTGTAAAATAACTTTTTCTAGTTCTGTGAAGAATGGCATTGGCAGTTTAATAGAAATAGCATTGAATCTAAATCTATAAATTGCTATGGGCAGTCTCGCCATTTTAATGATATTGATTCTTCCTATCTATGAGCATGGAATATTTTTCCATGTGTTTGTATCATCTCTGATTTCTCTGAGGAGTATTTCATAACTCTCCTTATAGAGATCTTTGACTTCCCTGGTTAGCTGTATTCCTGTGGTATTTTATTTTTTTGTGTGGCAGTTGTGAATTGGATAGCATTCCTACTTTGGCTCTCTTGCTTGAGTATTGTTGGTGTATAGGACTGTTAGTGATTTTTGTACATAGACTTTGTATCTTGAAACTTTGCTGAAGTTGTTTATCAGCTTGAGATTTGGGGGCTGAGACTATGCGGTTTTCTAGATGTAGGATCTTATCATCTGAAAACAGAGATAGTTTAACTTTCTTTCTTCCTATTTGGATGCCCATTATTTTTTTCTCTTGCCTGATTGTCCTGGCCAGGACTTCCAATACTATGTTGAATAGGAGTGGTGAGAGAGGGCATCCTGGTCTTTGCCAGTTGGATGCGTCCAGGTTTTGCTCATTCAGTGTAATGTTGACTGTGGGTTTGTCATGGATGGCTTTTATTATTTTGAGTTATGTTCCTTCAACACTTAGTTTATTGAGAGCTCTTAACATGAATGTGTGGCAAATTTTATCAAAAGGCTTTTCTGCCTCTATTGAGATAATCATGTGGTTTTTGTCTTTAGTTCTGTTAATGTGATGAATCACATTCATTGATTCGTGTATTTTGAACCAACCTTGCATCCCATGGATAATGCCTACTTGATTGTGGTGAATCATCTTTTTGATACGCTGCTGGATTTGGTTTGCCAGCATTATGTTGAGGATTTTTGCATCAATGTTCATTAAGGATACTGGCCTGAAGTTTTATTTTCTTATTGTGTCTCTGCCAGATTTTGGTATCAGGATGATGCTGGCCTCATAGAATGAGTTAGGAAGGAGTCCCTCCTCATTTTTTTGGAATATTTTCAGTACAAATGGCATTAGCTCTTCTTTGTACATCTGGAAGAATTCAGCTGTGAAATTATCTGGTCTTCAGCTAATTTTTGGTTAGTAGAATATTTATTACTGACTCAATTTCAGAGCTTGTTCTTGGTCTGTTTGGGGATTCAATTTCCTCCTGGTTCAGTCTTGGGATGGTGTATGTGTCCAGCAATTTATCAATTTCTTCTGGAATTTTGAGTTTATGTGCATAGAGGTGCTCATAGTATTTTCTGATGACTATTTGTATTTCTTTGGTGTCAGTGGTAATATCCCCCTTCTCATTTCTGATTGTGTTTATTTGAATCTTCTCTCTTTTCTTTTTTATTAGTGTAGCTAATGGTCTATTTTATTAATTTAAAAAAACCAGCTCCTAGATTCATTGATCTTTCAAAATTGTTGTGTTTCTCTATCTCCTTCAGTCCAGCTCTAATTTTGGTTATTTCTTGTCTTCTGCAAGCTTTGGGATCGGTTTGGTGCTGGTACTTTGGTTCTTTTAGTTGTGATATTAGGTTGTTAATCTAACTGAGATCTTTCTAACTTTTTGATGTGAGCATTTAGTGCTATAAGTTTCCCTCTTAATCCTGCCCTAGCTGTGTCCCAGAGATTCTGGTATGTTGCATCTCTCTTCTCATTAGTTTCAAAGAACTTCTTGAATTCTGCTTTATTATTTACCCAAAGGTAAACTCAAGAGCAGATTATTCAATTTCCATATAACTGTATGATTTTGAGTAAATTTTTGGGTCTTAATTTCTTATTTAATTGCACTGTGGTCCAAGAGTTTGTTTATGATTTCAGTCCTCTTGCATTTTCTGAGGAGTGTTTTACGTCCAATTACATGATTGCTTTTAGAGTATGTGCCATGTGGTGATGAGAAGAATGTATATTCTGTTGCTTGGGGGTGGAGAGTTCTATAGATGTCTATAAGCTCCATTTGATTCAATGCTGGGTTTATGTCCTGAATATCTTTGTTAATTTTCTTTCTTGATAATCTGTCTAATATTGTCAGTGGGGTGTTAAAGTCTCCCACTGTTATTGTGTGAGAGTCTAAGTCTCTTTGAAGGTCTTTAAGAACTTGTTTTATGGAGCTCCTGTGTGTTGGATGCATATGTATTTAGGATAGTTATATCTTCTTGATGAATTGAACCCTTTACCATTCTGTAATGCTCTTCTTTGTCTTTGTTGATGTTGTTGGTTTAAAGTCTGTTTTGTCAGAAACTAGAATTGCAACCCCTGCTTTTTTCTGTTTTCCATTTGCTTGGTAGATTTTTCTCCATCTCTTTATTTTAAGGCTATGTATGTCATTGCATGTGAGAAGGGTCTTTAAAGATAGCATACCAACAGGTCTTGGTTCCTCATCCAGCTTGCCACTCTGTGCCTTTTAATTGGGGCATTTAGGACATTTACATTCAAGGCTAGTATTAATATGTGTAGATTTGATCCTGTAATCATGTTAGCTGGTTATTTTGCAGACTTGTTTATGTGGTTGCTTCATAGTGTCCCTGGTCTGTGTATTCAGTGTGTTTTTGTAATGGCTAGTAATGGTCTTTCCTTTCCACATTTAGTGCTTCCTTAAGGTGCTCTTGAAGCTTCCTTTGAGAGCTTCTTTCAGATCCGGGGGTAATAAATTCCCTCAGCATTTGCTTGTCTGAAAAGGATCTCATTTTCCCTTCACTTAGGAAGCTTAGTTTGGCTGGATATAAAATTCTGGGTTGGAATTTTTTTTCTTTAAGAATATTGTATATTGGTCCTCAATCTCTTCTGGCTTATAGGGTTTCTGCTGAGAGATCTGCTGTTAATCTGGTGGGCCTCCCTTTGCAGGTGACCTGACTTTTCTCTTTAGCTGCATTTAACATTTTTTTCTTTCATTTTGACTGCAGAGCATCTCAGGATTATATGTCTTGGAGATGATCTTCTTGTAAAATATCTTTCTGGTGTTCACTGCATTTGCTGAATTTTAATGTTGGCATCTCTACGTAGAGTGGGGATGTTCTCATGGATGACATCCTGAAATATGTTTTTCAAGTTGGTTACACTTTCCTCATCTCTTTCAGGTAGACTAATCAGTCATAGATTTTGTCTCTTTACATAATACCATATTTCTCAAATGTTTTGTTCTTTCCTTTCCATTTTTTCCCCTATTCTTGTATCACTGTCTTATTTCAGAAAGCCAGTCTTAAAACTCTGAGAATTGTTTCCTACTTATTATAATTTGTTGTTAATATTGTGATTGCATTATGAAATTTTTGTAGTTCATTTGCAGCTTTATCAGGTTGGTTCCATTCTTTTCTATAGTGGCCATTTTGTCTGTCAGCCCCTGCATTGTTTTCTCATGAGTTTTAGCTTCCTTTGATTGGGTTTTAACGTACTCCTGTAGCTCAGTAATCATTGTTCCTATCCATATTCTGAATTCTGTTTCTGTTATTTCAGCCATTGCAGCCTGGTTCAGAACCCTTGCTAGAGAGGTGATGCGGTTATTTGGAGGAAAGGAGGTGCGGCAGCTTTTTGTGTTGTCAGCGTTCTTGAACTGATCCTTTCTCTTTCCTGTGGGCTTATCTTCCTTCAATTTTTGAGGTTGTGGACCTTTGGATGGGCTTTTTTTTTTTTTATCTTTTATACTATTTGATGACTTTGAGGGTTTCATTTTGGTATAACATGAAGGTAGCAGCTGACTGGCTTCAATTCTACAAGATTTTATGGGGCCAATGCTCAGTTCCCAGCTCCTGGACTGCCTGCTGTAATTCTGTAGGACTTGTATTTGGCCCTGGCTTTGTTCTCTGTCTCCTGATTGTTAGGAATCCACTGCGCTGGGGATTGAAGGTGCTCCTGATCTCCTGGGCAGTACACTCTGATGGGTTATGTCAGCCAAAACGTTTCGTATTTTGGTGGCAGCAGGATCTGTTCTTATTGTCACATGTCAGCAGGGGTAGCAGGAGCTGTAGTAGCATGCTATTGGTTGCCTCCCTCCCTGCAGGCATTCACCACAATGCCAGGGGAGAGGGCAGACCAAGGGGCCCCTTCTGGCAACTGTGTATATGGTCATGCTAGAGGTGGTGTTATGCTGGTGGGCACAGGTCTGGGTGCTGTCTCTGTGCCCTGCAAGCAGGAGTAGTCACTCAGGGCAAGGGAGGATCTACTGTTCTCTATACAGTGTTAGCTACAGGGCAGGGCACTGCAGGGGGTGGGCTCTGTGCCCACCAAGGCTCTGTCTGCAATGGCATTCAGCATGGAACAGGATGGACTGCACTCCTGTGCGCTGAGAGGGTGAGGAAAGCAAAGCCAGCCCGTGGAGACACATATCAGCAATGAGATGCGGGGAGTTGCCCTGAGCCTGGGGGAAGCTGCAGTATGGAGAGGGAGCGTACAGGCTAGTGCATGGCCATGGAGGCTGCCCCACTGAGGCTCTCTGCCAGTCAGGCATGGTCCACCAGCACAAAAGTTATGGTGTGGGCCCCTAGGGCACACGAGGCTGCCCTGCACCTAGGCATAGCTAGGCTGGCGCCCTGGAAGGGGCCAGCAGACCAAGGAATTCTCAGGTCGGACTGACCCTGTCTGATGGGCAAGACTGCCCTCAAAGTTCGGGACTGACAGCTCCCCTAGGGCTAAAATCTCTTATGGGTGCAAGTCGAGCCTAGGAGGATGGCTGTCCCTGGCCATGCTCTGTTAGAGACACTTCTACATCCCACCCTCTGGGCTCCAATCAGCTAGCTTGCTGCCCCTACCACTTCTCTAAGCAGCTCTCCCTGCCAACTCCAGTGTCCATGGTGGTCAACAGGTCTCCTCCTGCTGGAGTTCCAGAGGCCCATGGCAAGAGTAGGAAACTCCTTGCCAGTTCAAATCACCCATTCCCCTGAAGCTGTTGGGAGCCAGGAAGGAGTCCAGGTGTGTGATAGCCCCATATAGGGTCCCCAGCTTCTTCCCCCTTCAGCCCAGCTTCTATGTCTTCCTTTTGTCCACACTCAGTGTTTTCCCTTTGAAAATCTGTTAGGAGCACACCAATTGTCTTGGTCCCCCAGCGAGAGCTGTTCCACCTGGCTGGGTCTAGTTGGCCACCTGGCCCTCACTTTCCACTTTTGATTCTTAGGCATTTAAAACAATACTATTGATCAGTCAATATAAATATATTTTTCTATTGATTGGATGAGCATATCTTAAATTGAGTTAACTTTTTTGACATACATAAAAACTTAAGGAACAACTTTCACCAAAAACTGTCTATTAAGCCAGTTTTTTTAAGAAGGAATGTGTTGAAGGAAACACATAAATTTTGGGATTCAAGTAATATAGAAAAACAGGCATAATAATGAGGCTATTGTCAGGAATGCACACATTTTCTCTGCTTGTTTAAACTCACAAGAAACAATTCAATGATGTTAACAAGAGATATTTTTTCTCAAAACCTGAGTTATACAATATTTTTTGTAGATATGTTTATGTGGGGACCATTGCTGTTGGCCCCCTGGAGGTTCACTGAAAATCATTGAAATTAGGCTGGGCACGGTGGCTCACACCTGTAATCCCAGCACTTTGGGAAGCCAAGGAAGGTGGATCACCTGAGGTCAGGAGTTCAAGACCAGCCTGGCCAACGTGGTGAAACCTTGTTTCTACTAAAACTACAAAAATTAGCCAGGCGTGGTGGTGAGTGCCTGTAATCTCAGCTACTTGGGAGGCTGAGGCAGGAGAATCATTTTAACCCAGGAGGCGGAGGTTATAGTGAGCTGAGATCATGCCACTACACTACAGCATGGGCAACAGAGCGAGACTCTATCTCAAAAAAAAAAAAAAATCACTGACAATAGGCAGATTGATTAATAGGATGAAGGACATACAAATCTACTTAATGCATATGTATGCATGGGAGCCTTCGGAATGAAGACCTAATAAGTTACAGAAGCTTATATACCATCTCTAGGTTACAGAAAGAATTGGAGCATGGCCAAAAACAGGTATTGTTGGTAAATCCGGTTTAATGGTAAGACAGGTTATGAGAGAGAGAAAAGAAGAGGCTTGGCTAGCAAAGGTGGCCTTGTTATGTAGACGAAGCCTTCCTCAGAGAGAATGGATAGTAAATATTTATTTCTAGACTTTTAAAGGTGTCAGACTCTTAATCTCTCCTCAGTCTAGGAAAGGCGTAGAAAAGGCCTGGCAACATTAATGAACATTCGCCACAAGTGCAAATTTTTCTCCACAAAAGACAACTTTGCAAGGCCACTTCTGTTTGCTGGCCCTACAGAAGCCATTTTAAAGCATGCCAAAAAATATATTTTGGGGTAAAATATTTTGATTTTATTTACATGTATATTATTAGTTTTCATATGAGAGAAGTAATGATTATTCAATTTTAAATTTTATTTTTGCCTCAGTTTAAACACTCGGAAAACAAAAATGGTGTTTGTTATTTCATTATGTAGAATTCCTAGAAAATATTAGTAGAACTGCTATCTATTCATTAAACATTCATATCTTATATGAACTTTATTACCATAATTTCAAGGTACCAAACATAATCATGTCTAAAACACCAAAAGCAATGGCAACAAAAGACAAAATTGACAAATGGGATCTAATTAAACTAAGGAACTTCTGCACAGCAAAAGAAACTACCATCAGAGTGAACAGGCAACCTACAGAATGGGAGAAAATTTTCGCAACCTACTCATCTGACAAAGGGCTAATATGCAGAATCTACAATGAACTCAAACAAATTTACAAGAAAAAAACAAACAACCCCATCAAAAAGTGAGCGAAGGACATGAACAGACACTTCTCAAAAGAAGACATTTATGCAGCCAAAAAACACATGAAAAAATGCTCACCATTACTGGCCATCAGAGAAATGCAAATCAAAACCACAATGAGATACCATCTCACATCAGTTAGAATGGCAATCATTAAAAAGTCAGGAAACAACAGGTGCTGGAGAGGATGTGGAGAAATAGGAACACTTTTACACTGTTGGTGGGACTGTAAACTAGTTCACCATTGTGGAAGTCAGTGAGGCGATTCCTCAGGGATCTAGAACTAGAAATACCATTTGACCCAGCCATCCCATTACTGGGTATATACCCAAAGGACTATAAATCATGCTGCTATAAAGACACATGCACACGTATGTTGATTGCGGCACTATTCACAATAGCAAAGACTTGGAACCGACCCAAATGTCCAACAATGATAGACTGGATTAAGAAAATGTGGCACATATACACCATGGAATACCATGCAGCCATAAAAAATGATGAGTTCATGTCCTTTGTAGGGACATGGATGAAATTGGAAATCATCATTCTCAGTAAACTATCGCAAGAACAAAAAACCAAACACCGCATATTCTCACTTATAGGTGGGAATTGAACAATGAGAACACATGGACACAGGAAGGGGAACATCACACTCTGGGGACTGTTGTGGGATGGGGGGCAGGAGGGATAGCTTTAGGAGATATACCTAATGCTAAATGACGAGTTAATGGGTGCAGTGCACCAGCATGGCACATGTATACATATGTAACTAACATGCACATTGTGCATATGTACCCTAAAACTTAAAGTATAATAATAAAATAAAAAAACACAATTATTATTTCTAATAAATACTCTGTAAACACTATAACAATCAATTCAATTAAGCAAGCATTTAATTAATGGGTACTATTTATGTGCTGGGCATTGAGTTTATAATGATAACTAAGATATATTTTTCTTGCTATGCTCCAGCTTAAAGGAGAGGTTTGAAATATTTTGGATGAAGGAAGGTTCAAGGTGAAAATGTAGAACAAGAATGAAACAACTGACACATCTATCAAATGGCCCTTAGTGTAACTTCCCAATGGGCTCTCCTTGCTTGCTGCCCAGTTAGAGCTGATTTATCAAGACAGAGGAATTGCAATAGAGAAAGGGTTTAATTCACGCAGAGCCAGCTGAACAGGAGACTGGAGTTTTGTTACTCAAATCAGTCTCTCCAAAAATTTGGAAATTGGGTTTTTTTAAGGATAACTTGGTGGGTATGGGGGCATTGAGTAGGGAGTGGTGATCGGTTGGGTCGGAGAGATCATACAAAGTTGAAGCGGTCCTCTTGCACTGAGTTGGTTCCTGGATAGGGGCCACAAGACCAGATGAGTGAGCCAGTTTATCCATCTCGGTGGTGCCAGCTGATCCATCAAGTGTAGGGTTTGAAAAATACTTCAAACACTAATCTCAGGTTTTATCATAGTAATGTTATCTATAGGAGCATTTGGGGAAGTGAGTGATCCTGTGGCTTCCGGCTGCATAACCCCTGAACCGTAACTTCTAACTTTGTGGCTAATTTGTTAATTTTACAAAGGCAGTCTGGTTCCCATGCAAAAAGGCAGTTTCTTTTGGGAAAGGGCTGTTATCATCTTTGTTTCAAAGTTAAACTATAAACTAAATTTCTCCCAAAGTTAGTTCAGCATATGCCCAGGAATGAACAAGGGCAGCATAGAGGTTAGATGCAAGATGAGTCAGTTAGGTCACATCCCTTTTACTGTCATACTTTTCTCACTCTTACAATTTTTGCCAAGGCAATTTCATTAGAATAATCTGCTAACTAAGGGCTCTATGTAAAGTTGCTGATTTTCTTTAGAGGTTAGACGGAACTGGGTACCTAATCTGCACAGGCCAGTGAAATATACAAATGGAAAGCACTTGTTCAATAATTTTTAAGCATTTCAGATTGTGACAGCAGAGCATTTAACAAGCAAGGGCCTCTCTAAGCATTGGGCTCTGTGTGACTGCCCATATCACCTGCCCCTGAAGCCTGCCTTGAGGTTAGATTTTTTTTCTTTCTTGCTAATACTTTAGTTTCTCTTAGAATGCTTTTGTTGCCTGATGCATTAATTTGATAAAAATGATTCTGTGTCTCTGAAGTCCAAAGAGCATTGATCATGCCATCATGGTTTTCTGGCAACTTGTTAGTTATGCACATTATCTTAAAAAATCTATGAAGTAAAGACTTCTATTTTACTTTCTTGCAGGGCTTCACTGGAACAGATATGTAAGTAGAACTGAGGTTATTTTTACTTTATCATTATGCCTTTTTATAAGGAGTAAAGAATAGTATGTTAATCCATATATATGGAATAAAATTAGGATACCAGAAGGGATTTCAGATAGCCTTCACACAGCTAACTTACTGTCTTGTCAGTAGCAACACTAATAGGTAGAGTAATATTGGGAAAAAATAATGCTTTTGAATTTTTTGTACACTTAAAAAACATTACATATGACTGCATTTTATCATCATTTAATCTAGTCATCTGATTATATCATAACAGTGAAATACTGCATTTTACAATTGCCTGTATCCAAGATTTCCCTAAAGATACAGTGAGGAGAGACTATTTCTTGATGTGGTGATTTGTGATTACATATTTATAGGTCCACATATGTGTACACTTGGGGTTGTACTAGATACTACATTGGTAGTGGATATTAAATGCAAGCTTATATGGCATGTTGATTTTATGTCTTAGGAATGAGTATAAACTTCATAAAAAGTGAAACTAATAATAAACAGATAATTGAGATGTTGTTTGCCATCAGTATTGGATCATACGCATTACACGATGAAAGTTTCTAGATGCCAGTAAGTAAAAAGGAGCTGATACTTAGTTACTAATTATGTTCTGAATTTAAAGAAGTGCTCATCATAGAAATCATTTTATATAAACTGTGTTTAAAATCTAGTTATTTGTGAAGTAATAAAGTAGGCCTAATTCATAAATTTATATGCATATGAATTTAAGCACATGCATCTATAAGCAGAATTATATATACAAACAATGATATTAATAAATATATTATTTATCATAACTTAAGGCAGCGTATCTTATTTAATTACTGAACTGAAAATATTTTTACTCCAGTGACAGAAATGTACTGCAAAGCACTAATAAAATGCAACACGTATTGCAGATAAATCCTCTCCATATTGAAAACTTTGAGATTTATTGTGATCTATCATCCCAAGATCTATTGAGAGTTGAATAACATAAATACACAATTTATGCCTAGGAGATAAAACATGGATAAAAAATACCATGATCTAACAATGCGATTTGAAATCTGGCATCTAATTTACACACACAAACACACACTCACCCTTAAGTCTAGTGTGTATTGCCTTTAGTGCTCTGACATTACTAAAGGTAAACTATTCTAAGACAAGGTTTTCCTTTGTAGTGGTGGAGATACTTGTGGTGCCTAGTTGTGTGTGCAAACACACACACACACTCACACTCACATGGCTAACCAAACCTTGAAAATTTAAGTTGTCTTTTGCCCTCTCATTTCACTTACTGAAGGCAGACAATCTCTTCATGTATAATAAAAGCAATTCAGATTTTTGTAATGTAATTTTCTTAAGCCACTGACCTATTCCATTTCTCTTCATCTGGTTCTGATCTGAGGATAATTTATTTTATAATCTCTACTACTAAAGAAACAAGGTAAAATAAGTGAAAGGAAATAGTATTGATAATAATCACTTTATGACACTGTGTTGTAAACAACACCCTGATAAACCCTTTCCTCCATCTTCCACTGAGTGGACAGGGGAGTAAAGATGAAGCATTGGACGATGGCAAAAGGAGTCAACTTCAACTCATTTTGGCAAGTAGACATCTTGTGTCCTGGAGATCATAATTAACCATAATGTCAATGAAGAGTGACTATGGAAGAATTGTGCTGCTAAAATCATCTATTGACTAAAGAACCACAACCATAAATACAAAAGCAAATGCTATCCCATTTTTTGAGCCTAAACTTAATACATTTATGAGATGTCTTGAAATACAATTATTTTTCACTTGTAAAAAATATGAAGTCCTTTCAAAGTAGGAAAAAAATTATCCTATTTTAAAAAATATAGGAATGAATAGACTGTGGAAAACATCTATTTTATTTTTTAAAATGATATTTATTGCGTATTAGTATTAAATTTCCTAGCTGTCTCATTCACTCACACTCTGAACTATCACAGACATAACATTTTATGTTTTTAACAATTATTTTGTAATGCTAATTATATACAAAATAAAAATACGATTTTTTTTTTTGAGACGGAGTCTCGCTCTTGTCACCCAAGCTGGAGTACAGTGGCGGAATCTCTGCTCACTGCAACCTCTGCCTCCTGGATTCAAGCGATTCTCCTGCCTCAGCTTCCTGAGTAGCTGGGATTACAGCTACCGGCCACCACGCCTGGCTAAGTTTTGTACTTTTAGTAGAGACAGGGTTTCGCCATGTTGGACAAGCTGGTCTCAAACTCCTGACCTCAGGTGATCCGCCTGCCTCGGCCTTCCAAAGTGCTGGGATTACAGGCGTAAGCCACCGCACCTGGCCAGATATTTTTAAGTTTTAAAACTTAACTTTAAGTTTAAATCATAACTTTAAGTTATGATTAAATTTTATGAATTTAAATTAATTTTTTTAAAGTTGAGTTATAAGTTTTTGTATTCCAAAAGATTTTAAAATGTATTTACTTACAATCTTGTTATGTTGCTTTTCATTTTTTAAACATAAAAAGTGATTAATAATCATATAGAGAGAATAAAATTAAAATATGCCATCTCGAAATATAATTCTCTGGCATATTTTGAAATGGCTATTCAGAAGGACTGCAGACACAAGTATGGCTCTGGAAGCTATCCTTTGTGGGGGAGATTTGCATCTGTAGAGAAAACTTTCATTAGTAAAGTAAATAGCAAATGCAGAGGCTTTTTATTAAGGTATTCTTATCTGGATCTTGGAAAAATTAACTCACAAGAAAAGGAGATGAAAACGTTAACACTTACAAAGTCCTGACAGTGAAACTTTTACCAAAGACTACTGTCTACTCTGAGGGCTGCTACCTGCGAGGCTTCAACTGCATAAAAAGACAGCCTTTGTCACCAAGTCTTTTTTCCCCATCTCTCACCCATAACCTGTCACCATGCTCCAAGCCTCAATTTCTTTCTATAAAATATAAAAACTTTGTCATTTGGCTCTTCTTTCAATCTCATATTCATAGACCTCTCGTGTCCATGTGCACATTGATAAATCTGTATCCCTTTTCTCCTGTTAATCTGTCTATTGTCAATTCATTTCAGCAGACTCAGACTTCAACATTCGGGGGAAAATTTGAACTTCTCTACAGTTTTGGTATCTTTGGCAGGATTATAGCAAATCACTCTGCCCACACCCGAGGCTGCAGCCAGAAACCACGGAAACTGACAGACGCCAGCAAAAAGAAAGAAAAAGTTAAGAAATTTCTTACCAGTAATCCTCCTTGGGTTTCTGCCTTAGGACTAGTCAGGTGAGTGGTGAAACTCCATTTTCGTGTTTCCTTCTTTCTAAATTTAAAGGAGAGAAAATATTTTTAAAAGTTAGTTCTTTAAATTTGTGTCCCTTGTGGACTTGTTTTATACCTATTGATAATTAATCTTTAAACATCCAAAAATGGTCCTTGTTTTTCTTGTCTCTGTCCTTTGTGTGGTTTGGTATAAGGAGAAAAACCATAATAAGCTTCTCCTTTCATCTTGTTTTTGTGTCTTGAGAAACTTGGCTTTGTAATCCCCAAATTTATTTTCTGGTCTTCACTACCCAGGAGGGCATATTTGCCAGACATATACTAGGCTGGGAATCTGAAATGTCTGTTTTTCCAAATGTGTAGGTTCTCAAAAAAAAATTGCCTTTGTTATCTCAGCCTTCATTGCCTAACAATTAATGTCTTTGCTTTCTTCTTCTTCTTCTTCTTTTTTTTTTTTAGGTGGAATCCTACTCTGTCGCCAGGCTGGAGTATAGTGGTGTGATCTTGGCTCACTGCAACCTCTGCCTCCCAGGTTCAAGCGATTCCCCTGCCTCAGGCTCTGGAGTAGCAGCAGCTGGGACTACAGGTGCGTGCCACAGTGCCTGGCTAATTTTTTGTATTTTAGTAGAGACGGGGTTTCACCATGTTGGCCAGGATGGTCTCGATCTCCTGACCTCGTGATTCACCCACCTCGGCCTCCCAAAATGCTGGGATTACAGGCATGAGCCACTGTGCCCAGCCCAACTTTGCTTTCTTGAGCTATTGTAGCAGGACAAGCCGCAGACAAAACCCCTCAGACACCAAGTTGTAGAAGGAAGGGCTTTATTCAGCTGGGAGCATCGGCAAGCTACCATCTTAAAATCCGAGCTCCCCAAGTGCACAATTTCTGTCCCTTTTAAGGGCTTACAACACTAAAGATTTCACATGAAAGGGTCGTGACTGATTTGAGCAATCTAGGGGGTACATGACAGGGGCTTCATGCACCAGTAGTCAGAGTGAAACAGAACAGAGCAGAGAGTTTCACAATGTTCTTCCATACAATGTCTGGAATCTATGGATAACATCGGTTGCTAAGGCATGAGTTGATTTTTAGCTACTAGGCAGGCCCAGGCCTGGTTTCGGGTCTGGTTTTGGGTCTGGTGCCTGGTGCCGGGCTGCCTGCCTTTGGTTTCACTTCCTTGTTTCTTCTTAAAATAGGTACTGAGTATGAAACAATGTAAAACAATATGAGAAGGTCTCTCTCTTCCCTCACTATCTTTGGGAGGAGCTTTAAATATTGGGAGGAGTTGCGTGTACCCTTTTTGAAATGAAATTCTTGTGTTTATTGATTTTAAGCCATAAAAGGGCTTATTATAATAGTTTTGAGTCACAGATGAAGTAGGTACACATTTGGAGATTTGGAAACTATCTGTATGACTCTTGACATTCATTAATGATCCCTACATCCCCACCCCTTGTTACGGTAGGTAGCTAATCAGACATGAAGAGAGCAGGAAAGGGCTTCCCCAACTCCCTGACACACACACCAGGAATGTCAGGTGACCATCAGGTGATGATCAGGCAGTTGTTAACTGTCTCTCTAAAATAATAATTGTTCACAGTCAGTGCCAGGGAAAGGCAGTCTCCGAATAAACAGAAACACCTGAAACTGGTGATCAATAGCTTCCTGACAAGATGTCAGGATTTGGAGGAGTTGGCTCAATCATGCACATTAAGAAGCAAAATGGCAGAGTTTAACTGGTATATGACTTTCTAGGGACATTTGACTGATAAGGGAAGAACGCCTCAAGTGTATGCATGCATACAACTCTAGTAAACACACTGTGCCTGCTCCCCTCCCAAGTGCTGACAGGCCACTGCACATATAGACAGCCCACCCCAGGGGAAGAATCGGGGGGGAATGAATGCAAGATTCTGGAAGCATCTCAACTTACAAAACCCAAAGTCAAAAGGTCAAACCGCACACTTGATCTCTCAAGTTGCCCCGTTGGCCCTCTTCCAAGTGTACTTCCTTTCATTCCTACTTTAAACCCCCTTTATTTTATTTATTTATTTATTTTTTGAGATGGAGTCTCGCTCTGTCGCCCAGGCTGGAGTGCAGAGGCACGATCTCAGCTCACTGCAACCTCCGCCTCCTGGGTTCACGCCATTCTCCTGCCTCAGCCTCCCGAGTAGCTGGGATTACAGGTGTGCACCACCACACCCAGTAGAGACAGGGTTTCACCATGTTGGCCAGGCTGGTCTTCAACTCCTGATCCTCAAGTGATCAGCCCTCCCAAAGTGCTGGGATTTACAGGCGTGAGCCACTTTGCCTGGCCTTTCAAGCTTTTTAATAATCTTTCACTCTTGCTCTAAATCTTGCCTTTGTCTCTTTCCCCCTTATGCCTCCTGGGTTGAATTATTTCTTCTGAGGAGGCAAGAATTGAGGTTGTGGCAGACCAGTACAGATTTACTGCCGGGAACATGCATTGGTGCTGTGTGACTTGGATATGTTCTGCTCCTAAAACCCTAATGTGGATGACTTATTTTTCTGGTTTTTTTGTTTTGTTTTGTTTTGTTTTTGTTGTTGTTTTTTTTCTTATTGATTGATCTCTTATTTTGATGTTTTATCTATCCAGGTCATATGAAATGATCTGGCCTTCATGCACAGGTGGACAACCAAAAGTTTAGGAGCCCCAAGAATATAGCCAAACAGAAATGTGAGTTATACCTCATTTGCAGCTAGTGAAGTTTTGATTTTTTGGCTGGTCTGTGGGAGTGGTCTGAATCTTGGAAGAACTTCGTCTTTCTGTTTCGTCTTTGGAGTCCTTGGTTACAACCATAGAGAGGCTACGTAGTTTGGTCTTGAGTCACTTGTTAAATATATCTTTAGTTAAGATTTTGGTTTATATTCAGAGAATAATTTTTTTTTTAACTTTTCCTTTTTCTGTTTGCTTCCTGCATTCTCATTTGAGCTAACAGGAAATTTTATATTCAAAAGAAGAAATTTGATTAGTAATTACCCTGAACTTCTAAAAACTTCCATTATTTCTTTGTCTTTTGAGATGTAAATTCTCTCTCCAGTCTTACCTGAGAAATAATTCCTTTTTAAATGCAAATTTCAAGGAAAGAAAAGCCAGGAAACAGAAGTGTTTGCTGTTTGTTTGGCTAAAACCTCTAATGAGATATTTAAAGATTTCTTTTTTAAGAGCTTTATGGTCAAAAATTAACTTAATTAAAAGCTGATATTCAGGCTACAATTTTTTTAAAAGCCTCCCTGCTTTTTCTGTTTTGGATCCTGTTTCTACTATGGAATTTCTTTTAGTCCACAGAAGCTCCTTTTAATTATATGTTCGTTCCTCTGTCTACTTCCTTTTTTGTTGGCATGATTTCTGCTGAGAATAATATAAAACTTTATCGACCTTTTTGAAAACTCCCCAGTTTGCTGCTTTAGGATTTGTTCTTCCTTTTACCTCTGCCCCCATTTCTTTTGTCATCTTGATACTCTTTGAGGAAGGAAGAAAAGGTGCCACTGACCCTCTTTTTCCTCCTCACGAAGCCTTAAGAGTGAGAAGTCAGTTCCTCTCAGGTCCAAGGCTCTATTATCTTTCATATGAAGCTCCCTAATCTCCTGGCTCTTAGGAGGTGGAGTACCAAGGCTTGCTTTATAACTGACAAGTCACTGGTAAGAGCTACAATTTTAAAGGTAACTAACAATGTTACAGCAACCAGTTATTACGGCAGAAGGCAAATTCTTACTTTCTACCTTCTTCATTTCTTTGCATGCTTAGGTAAGAAAAGACTCAGGTATATGACTAAGTCAGACCCAACTGACAATCAGACAGTTATTTGAAACAGGCTTCCGAATTGTCTTTTAGGTTCATCTGTATGTAACCGCCCAATAGGTTCACCTTGCCTAGACAGAACCGATTTATCAAGACAGGGAAATTGCAATAGAGAAAGAGTTTCATTTACACAGAGCTGGCTGTACAGGAGACCAGAGTTTCATTATTACTCAAATCAATCTTTCTGGAAACATGAGGATCAGGGTTTTTGTAGATAGTTCGGTGGGTAGAGGGTCAGAAAGTGGGGATTGCTGATTGGTTGGGTCAGAGGTGAAATCCTAGGGAGTTGAAGCTGTTCTCTTGTGCTGAATCTGTTCCTGTGTGGGGGCCACAAGACCAGATGAGCCAGTTTTTGGATCTGGGTAGTGCTAGCTGATCCATCAAGTGCAGGGTCTGCAAAATATCTCAAACATTGATCTTAGGTTTTACAATAGTAATGTTATCCCAAGAAACAATTTGGGATGTTTAGAATCTTGCAGCCTCCAACTGCATGATTCCTAAACCATAATTTCTAATCTTTTACATAATCTGATAGTCCTGCAAAGACAGTCTGGTCCCCCAGGCAGAAAGGGGGTTTGTTTGGGGAAAGGGCTGTTATCACCTCTATTTCAATGCTAAACTATAAACTAAGTGTCTCCCAAAATTAGTTTGACCTATGCCCAGGAATGAACAAAGATAGCTTGGAGGTTAGAAGCTAGATGGATTTGGTTAGGTCAAACCTCTTTCGCTATAATAATTGTCTCAGTCATATTTTTTGCAAAGGCAGTTTCATGTGTACTTTATTGTAAAATCCTCTAATTCTTATGATTTTATATTACCTTAGCATTCATTTAAAATCTTCCTCTTTGTCTCACCTAAAGCACCCAAAGCTCCTTGAGAAAACTTATGTTCTTTCTCTATGCCTTTGAGATGTAAATCTCTCACCCTGTCTTCTCTAGGACTTGATAGCATTCTTTTGAAAAAAACTATAAGATATTTGTATCTATCTGTATGATTGTTTATGTTTATACACATATACATCTATGATATCTGTTGTGTCCACATGATACAAAATCCCTTCGTTGAATTTCAAATTGATTTAAAAGACAAATGAACATGCATATATTAAATACTTTAGGCTCCTAAAATTATAGATACTAACTCAAATTATTTTCAAATTCATATGAATTGAATACATTTTTTGTAAATAAAACTAGCTTAATATTGTTGGTTTAAAAAACAGTAAATCAAATAGATATGAGTGAGATAAAGATGTATCTCTTTGATAACTACATCCTTAGAATTTTGCTAAGTTAAATTAAATGATGGCTATTCATTTAATATCTAGTTCATTTCTAAAGAAGATAAAAGATTGAAACATTAATTGCTCAACATAGGTTTCAGTTTATTTACATTTGGCATCTTACATTTTATAGAAAGATAAAATATATTTGGGCTTGTTAGCAAATATGTCCTTTTCCACATTGGAAATATGTTCTATCAGGAAATCTATGTTTCTAGAAGTCATTAAGTATATAGTCATAAAATGGGTTGGTATGTGACTTTGAAGTTGCTTACTTCCTAGATTTTCACTAGAAATTAAGATTATTAGGATTATGTCACTGAATATTAATATATATACTTAAAACTACTAATAATAAAGGAAACAATTCTGTATACAAAATATACAGGCAAATTAAGATGTTATAAGGTATAAACGTGTTTTTGTTGAGGAAAGAAATCATTTTGTCTAGGTACAGGTTATTTAAAGGTTGACTCAAAATAAGTAAATGGAGATAAGAATGACTGAGCTAAACCTGAATAAATATAGAAGGTTGGGAAAAGAAAGACAGTGAAAAAAAATCCTGTGTCGTTAAACTGATAAAAATTTACTAAATTTAATATAAGGGTTTTAAAATTGAGACTTATCATTAATAGTACACTGATACAAAACTAGAAATTGCTTTTTAAGGATATTCATGTAGTATTAATAAGAGATAATAAAAGCTTTATGTTCACCTTTGGAGTAAAGGACAAAAAGAAAAAAAAAATTAGGGAAAGAGAGAAACATGTTATATGTGCCTCAGTTATCTTTACTAGGCCTTTTGATTATTTAGGAAAACTGAATTAAAGATAAGTTTTTCTACAAAAAATGTAACTTCCTGTATTTGCTTCTAAAATATTTTAGTTATTACCCTGAATTACTAGCATTTCATATTTCCCTGTGATTCTATTTTTTATCAAGTGTTTTAATCATTTGATATTTAGTAAACTTCTCAAAAATCAAAATTTGGGGACCTTCTTTGGTCTTTTTGATGCCAAAATAACTCTTGGAGTGCCAGTGGGCTCCTGAACACCTAAAGCACAGACATTAAACTAATCAACCTGATTCAATGTTTCAAATTATATGGAAAGCATTGTCAGGTAAGTGATGCTAAATGTTCTGCATGTGTTATTAATGTTAGTGTTCCAAAACTGTATGGGATTACTAAAAATCTAGTATGTTGTCAGTTATAATTTTTGGATATTATGTTAAATTTTACATTCTACAGAACTTACCACATTTATTTGTCCTCTATGGGTGATAATAAGCTACCATAAGACCTTTAACCATGGCTACTTTAAGTCTCATTGTTCACAGTTAATTGTTTTATTCTGATACTCTTTCTAAAAGTGCTTTGCAATCAGCTACAGTCTAAAATTTGCTTATTTTTCAAGGAGAATTATGGGAAAGACCCTAACAAGTGCCCTTGAATATAGATTTCTGATAACTTTAGAATCATGTCATTGGACTGTATAAGAATTTCCAGAACTCTTATGAAGAAACTGATGGGTTCATAAAACTCCCAACCTAACACCAAGCAAAACAAGAATTAATTACATTGTACTGAAATAATTTTTATGCCTTTTTTTCATTGTTTGAAGCATTACTGATTCTTTTTACGTTTTGTTTTCTAAAGTTAAGAAAACTTTTTTTCTTAAACTGTCTATAGGTTTATAGCAATTTGGTAATCTATACTTTTGTGAGCAACATTTAAACATTTATCTTTCTCTTTACCTGACCCCTCCAGATTTCAGAAACTATTTGTGAGTATTCTTATTTTATGGCAGTATGGTTATTTGTATAAGTTCAATAAGAATCTGTTCTCTTGTATAACAGAACACAATTAGAAACACTGGTCATTTTACCAAGGTTTTGAGCATAATGTCATACCTTTAAAATTGACCAGTGTGCTTTAAGATATTAAGGTTGACTTTATGGAACCAATAAAAAGGTTCCTGGAAAAACTGGCCTGGCACCTTAAATACACAATTCACATGGTTGTCTTACAGGGAGGTAAAGAGTGCCACTTCTTAGCAGCTTCTGAAACGTCAGGATATTTTGAGAACCTCAAGCAGAGAGGAATTCATCCAGATACTACAGATATTGCAGGGAGATTTCAAGGTCATATCTTTGACTTGGTTTCCTAGTCTTGAGATGCTTTAAAAAGAAGTCTAATTTGAGATTTCTTATAAAAAGTTTCAGCAAAGCAGACTTTAAAAAGAGCCTGTAATACCAATCACTATTCTTGCTAAACCATGTAAATAATCTGTATAAATAAACTATGTAAATAATCACACCAAAGACTAACCTTATTTTGCAACCAAATTAGTCTTAACATAGACATCTTTGGTAGAAGTGGAGGTGGAAGTAGAGAAAAAATCGTGTTTTAGAATAAAATTATAGTACACCTGTTATTAGATTTTAGATAATTATTTTTGAGATTTTATTTTTTATTTGTTATCTGGACTGAATACCAAATATTTTTAATTTCATCGTGTATCTGGCTATAAATCTCCAAAACATCATTTCCATTTTTTTTTCAACCTTTTGACTTGGAATCACTAATAATTAAAACTGTTTTTCCTGAGGTTCTACGAGCTAAAGTGAGTATAGTTGAGAAACAGACTCCAGAGAAACCACCACAGTGGCCTGTGTTTAGACAACCTTTATGACATTTAAACAGCAAAGTAGATAACTCTGTCAGATTGCCATTGATTACCCTGGTCCAGCTGAAGTTGATTCAGCCCAGATTCAAAAATCTTCTCCACTGGCTACCCTCCAAACTCAGAGACTAACTTAAAGATTGCTGCAGACATTATTAACCTTTGTTTTTGTTTCCAAATAAAAATCTCTAGTAAAATATGTGTGTGCTTGCACCATGTAGAGCAGTAGTCTCCAACATTTTTGGCACCAGGGACCAATTTTTGTGGAAGACAATTTTTCCATAGATGGTGGGGGAGTGTGGTTTTGGGATGAAACTGTTCCACCTCCGATCATCAAGTATTAGATTCTCATAAGGAGCATGCAACCTAGCTCCCTCACCTGCACAGTTCACAATAAGGTTCAGGCTCCTATAAGAATCTATTGCTGCCGCTGATTTGACAAGTGGTTGAGCTCACGCAGTAATGCTCACTCACTTGTGGCTCACCTCTTGCTGTGTGACCCAGTTCCTAATAGGCCACAGACAGGTACTGATCTGCAGCCCAGGGGTTGGGGATCTCTGACATAGAGCCTTCACCTTGAAAAAGTACATCTGCAGTGTTACCTCCTGAAATAAGACATAATTATTTAACTTAACTGACTTATTCTAGGACTAAGATACTGATTCAAGAAGATGTGGTGCAGTGTACTCAATATTTTTCCATTCTGCTTGTTCCAATCTATGTTTTCTTCCCCTCTGCCAATCTCTTTTCTTAAATTTTCTAATTCAAAGAAATCACCATAGCTACCAATTTTACTTTAACATGTGAAACTTTCTGGAAATAAAGTTTCAAATGGGGGACTCAAGGAAACCAAAATATGACACCCCAAAATATATTTGGCATATTTCGAAATGTCTATTTAGAGGGACTGCAGACACAGAAATAGTTCTGAAAAGCTGTCCTTGTGGGGGAGATTTGCATCTGTAGAGAAAATCTACATTAGTCAATAGCAGATGCAGAAGCTTTCTCTGAGTTTCCCTTATCCAAATCTAGGAAAGATTAACTCACAGGAGAAGGAGAATGAAAGTTTAACACTTTTAAAGATCTAACAGAGACTACCATTTATTCTTTCTGAGGGCTGCTACTTGTCAGGCTTCATATGCATAGCAAGACACATTTTGCTAACAACATCTTTCCTCCCTCTCCCACCCTTATCCTGCCACCGTATTTCAAGCCTTTATTCCTTTATGTGCAATATAAAAACTTCAATTATCTGGCTTTTGTTTGAGTCTCATATGGATAGTGACAGGAGACAGACAAATTCCTAGGCAGACAAGGACGTGTCCCCAGAGAAATCCAGTCTTCAAGCCAAAGACAGCCTGAAACCTGAAAAACAAGCTGCTGGTTCCACAGAGAGCCCATGACCGGAGTGAGAACTTCCTCGATGCCTTTTAACCAATTGAATGGTCCTTTTTCTAAGACCACTCATGAACCAATCAGCACACACTCCCCTATTTTATGAGCCCATAAAAACCCCAGACTCAGCTGCAAAAAGGGCTACCCACTTTTGGGCTCCCTCTTGCAGCTGATGGCAACCTGACTTCAGGGTGCCATCTCACATTTTAGAACTTTCCTTCTGTCACTTAAAATTCTTCTCTGCCTTACTCATTCTCTGGTGCCCATGCACCTTATTCCTCTTGGTTTTGGAACAAGAGCCCAGAACTCGCTGAGCTTCAGGCAGCAGGAACAAATGAGTGTCAACCCTCCTGTTCGCAGAGCTGTGGGCAATGGGAATGAGAGAGCTGTAATATGCCCCCATTCTCCTAGCTGTGGGCTCAAAGAAGTGAAGCCATTGGGTACCATTCCCTCCTGGCTGGCTTGCTGTACTACAAAAGCCGAAACATTTCTTGGAGGCTCAGAGTTCAGGAATCCCCAGGCGAAAGCTATAACACCACCTGGGGCTCCATGGTTGCTGGCATCTCTGAGTTTTTGAGTGCCACCACATTCCCCTTGTCTAAATACAGGTGCCCAATGTGGAAGCCACTCATTGTACCCCTGGTCCAGCCATGGGCTGAGCATGGTGTCTCTGTTCTGGTGTGGGATCTGGGGCAAGCTGTGAGCCGAGCACAGCCTGCCAGACTGAGTGGTTAGAGCAAGACCAGCAAGCCCAAGTGAGGCCCCAGAAAAAGATCATGGCAGCTGCAGGGACTTCCAGCAGGAGAAGTGGCACCAAAGGAATCCTGTAACAATATTTTTGGAATTCCTCTATCCATGTGGCTATTAATAAATTTATATTTGTTCACATTTTCTTCCATTAATCTATTGTCAATTCATTTCAGCTGACTTAAACTCTTAGACTTTAGAGAGAAACTTTTAACTTTCTGACAGTATATATAATATATATGTACACACATATACATGGATATATTTATACACACACATGCATAGTTTTCTCTCAAAGCCAATCCACATATAATGGCCATAAAAAGTTCACGTTCCTCTTAAAAAATCATAATATGGGGAAGCAAATTATTATTGTAGTGACATACTTCATCTTCTCTGCTGCTCAATAAGCATACACTTCTATTGTTGAGAGTATTCTCAACTTATGCAGTAATAACTATCTCCCACTAAAGAAACTAAAAATGTAAGATTTGAGTTTTTGTTACTATTACAGCTATTTAGTAGAAAATATGTATATATCTTAGGTTCCTCAATGAGATGACCTATCCTATAAATTGAATAGAAGAGCATGAGGATCTATTTAGACAATAAGTGACAGCAGTGCTTCCACATGCAATTAGTTTCAGAGGCACCAATGACATTGCTCCTAGGGGTGGCTTCTAGTGCCAATGTGAGCAATGTTAGCAGGGCAAGCTAAAATAACTTTTCTCAGGTGCTTTGGCAGAAAGATCTTCACTGAACAAATCTGTATAATTTTGGGCATAGCTCCTGGCCACATATCTTCCAAGCCTGGTTTTCTAGCCTGTAAGAAATTAAATGGCTTTCTCGCAATCACTTTAATAAACTGAATCTTGCTTATAACTGGGTTGCTTTTATTTGCTTTCAAATAAAGAAACCTCACTGATTAAAAAAATACTACCAGTGGCGATTAAAATAACAGATCGTCAGAGATTGGAGGAAATTCCCACTTGGTTGGGTATAAAAAGAAGTAAATAGTTAGTATTAAGGAATGAAACTTTGTGAACATATAACAATATGAAAGGCATAAAAAAAGTGAGTGCTAAAGCTCCTTCTAGTGATGCTGAGCAATTTAAAGAGAAGAGGAGATACATCTTACAAATTACTGCATGAAACAAAACCAAACAACATTCTCTGTTTGTGTGGAGAAAAACAATTTCTTATTTTTTTTGCAACTGTAAGGCTGTGATGGTTACACACAAAAAAACATAATATTTTTACTGTGGGTGGTAGGATCATTGTGACTGCATAATTTTGAATTTGCCCCAAACTCCTCCTAAAAGCCAAAAGTCTATTTGGCCAGCAAAAGAAATATTCCACAGAAAATATCTTCAATAAAGTAGAAACTAAGAAATGTGGCATCACCATGAGGCTCAAGACATGCAGATGGGGGTTGTATGGCCAAACCACCAACAGCAGGAGCAATGCAAAATTAGCAGTTTGTTGACATGTATAGTAGGAATAAAAGGGAAACTGACCCTGTCAGTTCTGGAACCTTAATATTGCAAAATAAATAATTAATTAAAATAAATTAAAACCCCAAATGGAAAACAACAACAACAAAGCTTCAAGAAGAAACTTGATTGAGTGAATCCCAGGACATCAGAAATATCTGGGATACTTCTTCATGAGCCCTAAGTTGTAAGTAAAGGCAGAGACAAAGAAACAACATAGCCATAAATACTTAACAATAGAAGATCAAATACTGCTGTGGTTTTCAGAAATATCCAAAAATTTTCCCTCCCATAAGGACTGAGTTTGATTTAGAGGAGACATAGGAAAAGGTATGAAGTTGAGCAAAGCAAAAACACTATGGATAAGAAAGAGAATAGGTGCAGATTTCAAGATACAAAATACCCAGGAGAGTGAAAATCCAGATATTACTGTACAGCAAAATAAACATCTAAAAGTAAGAAAATTGTTTTTGAAAACAAGGACTATATGGCTCTAGGAAACATAGAGCAGGAGGTAAGAAAACACATTCCTGAATCTCTGGGAGACAAAAAGAGGTCATAAAAAGATATCATGGTTTGAGTTCTCCACTGTAACAATGTCATACAAAATGTAAAACCAAGGAAGTTTAAAAAAAAGATACTCTAGTCCATCACCACTGCTTGTAGAGCAACCCTCTCCTAGTGACTGAGAAAAACACTTCAAAAAAAATTGTAAAAAACTGAAATAGGACAAATGCATTAAATAAGACAATTGTTTTAATACTAAAAGTTGTAATTCCTAATGGAATGTGACAATTATTAATATCAGGGCACTAAATAAACTAGTAACATCTGTTATTAAAAAACCCAGTAAGTAATGAAAGGTAAAATAGACATGGACGAAAAGAAAAACAAAGAGAACAAAAACAGATTTTAATGTACTTCTCTCACACTAGACATAAACAATTAGGGTATATCAAACTCCATATTCCAATATAAGAACCTTCTCTACAAGGGCATGAAATCTGACCACATGGTAGAAGACAAAGAAAACTTGAATAAATTGCAACATTATGAATATTAGGAAGTTTTTTCTGACCATGGTGCAACCGCCGTGAGATATATCTGAATAGCATCAGAGGCTGATTTCCTTTCTCCTTTTAGAGGCTCAGAAGAGAGTTGGCTCAGTTTCAGTTGCCCTGAGGATATTTATGTAGAAGCAATATTTTTGGCTAATGTTAGTCTGGCTGGCATGCAAGGCTGTTCTCCCTGCCCTGGGGTCTTAGTATGAAGACTTTGGCTCTTGACTCGCAGAATCACTAACATCACTTCTGGGCCTGGAGATTCTTTTACTGGTTCTTTGTTACTTAGAGAAACTAAGTATTCCCCAATCCCTTTTAGGAAACTCCACAAACATTTTGTTGGAGTGGAGCTCATAGTTGACCTTGGAGGCCTCTCAATTAGATGTCCAGGCAGCTGGAACCTTGTTCCAAGTGCATTCAGCACAGTTATGCTCAGCCTATACTGTGAAATGACAGGTTCACAGAACTGTGTGTGGTCTGCTACTTCTCTGCTGGTTTGCTTCCCCCCAATAAACCCTACTTTAAATTTGCATTGTGAGTTACTAGCAGTATGTATCTATGGTTATCTGCCCCATGACAGCAACAAAATGAGAAATTAATACAATATTTTTAAAAAGAAAGAAAAGTGGTTCTTCTCTTGGAAGTGGTGTAGTCAAAGTAAATAATTCATAAAGTAAAAAAAGATTATTGCATTAGAAAACAAATAAACATGTAAAACTAATATATAAATTAAATATGGTTCACAGACATCAACCGAAAAGACAAACTATTTCAACCTAATTAAAGAGAAAGTAGAGAAAAAACAGATATCTAGAAATAAAAAAGGAAAGGAAGAAATAACCCTTAAAGTGGATTAAATTTTGAAAAACTAATAGGAGTATCCATTGCACATTGCTAAGCAAACACAGTTGAAAACTTAGATGAAATGTAAGGTTTTCTAGGAAAATATAATTTTGCCAAAGTGACCCACGAAGGATAGAAACTCAAAACAGAAAATTGTCATGAAAGTAGAGTTTTACATAAGTTTCTATAAAACAAAGCATTAGGCCTTGGCAGAGTTAAATTTGACCAAACTTTTAAAGAAGCTCAACTAGACTAAATGTTCTTAAAAAATGCAGAGCATAAAAAGTAGAAAATACATTAAATTATTTTTTGTGAATCAAGTATAAAGTTAAGGCAAATGTTTAATAAATGTTTTTAACAAACTATCTCGTGAATATCATCGAACAATCTCAAACTATTAATAAATAAATATATACTTTTTAAAACAATTCATCATGAGCCTGTGAAATTCATTCAGAAAAACAATTCTGACTTGACATAGAGAAATTTGTCAATGTGAGTTGTATTAATTTATCTAAGGAGAAAAATGTAAATATGTTTAGAGATGTTGAAAAAGCACTGAAGAAAATTCAACATCAATTTTTTTAAAAAACCCTAAAATATTGGATTTAATAATTTTTTTTTTTTTGAGAAAGGGTCTCACTCTGTCACCTAGGCTGTATGGCAGTGGCACTAACATGGTTCAATGCTGCAGCCTCAAATTCCTGTGTTCAAGTGATCCTCCCACCTCAGCCTCCTAGTGTTGGGATTAAAGGTGTGCTACCATACCCAGCAATATATTTCTTAAATATCAAAAATATATAATGAAAGTCATCAATGTACTTGGACTAAAGACAGGTTTATTTCCTGCTGTAATCAGAAACAAGTTAAAGATGTCCACTATTGCCACAACTATATAATAATATATGTTAGGGATAAAAGGCAATCAAAATAAGCATGAGAAATGTATTTGAGGAACAAGGATTAGAAAGGAAGTATAATCATTATTTTTTTGGTTTAACATAATTGTGTAAACATATAACAAAGAATTTTTTAAAAAACTACTTAAAGTAAAAGTAAAATAACTTAGGCAAATAGCAGGATATAAAATTAATATATAAAGTAAGACAATGAATTTTGTGTATCATATAATGCTAACTAAATGTATAAAACTATGTAACTATATATTATAGCTATGCATGTACATTTATAACTAACAAAAGACAAAATAAATAAGAAGACTTCATTTTTATAGCCTATAAAGCCATATATATATATGAGAGAGAGAGTCATAAACCTAAGAATGTGTATGACCCATCTAAGCAATATGTAAAACACCTTAGAAAGACATTAAACTAGAATTGAACAAATATTCATGGATAGAAGTATTCAACACTGTTAATGTGTCAATTTTCTTTAAGTTAATTTACAAATTTAACATGATCTTGATAAAAATTACTGAAAAAAGTACAATGTGGGAGAGTTAGTCCTAACACAATTATATATGAAGTATTTTTTAAAATTAAAATAGTGTAGTTTTACTAGAAGAAGAGACAAACAATGGAACAAGATAGGATGCCTACAAATAAATCCAAGTCATTTTAGAAATGTAATATATAAAATCAAGGCAGGCATTGTAAATAAGTAGAAAAGTTGGACTTTTTAATAAATGTTAGTTATTTAACTGGATAGCCATTTAAAAATAGCTTCATGGAATCAACTCTAAAGCCATTTAATGTAGAAAAACAAAGAGGAGGTTCTAGTTAGAAAAAGAAGCCCAACTAGACTGAATCAATTAAAAAACTTAGTAAAGCAGATTCATACAAGCTAAACACAGAAAAATAATAACTAAATTGAATACTAAAAAATAAAAATGGAAAATAATATTTTTAAGATGGTAAAAAATTTATAACCTTTAAAGATTAAATTTAGTATTGACCAAAGACCAATATAAATATAGCCAGAAGTTGTACTAACTGATGGAAAACTAATCATAACAAGTGAAAAGCACATCCTAGGTTTACCATTTTCTTGTATGAGAAAATAGTATCGCTATAGTCATTCAACTAAATTTGAATACAGTGTATAAATTTAAAACAATTCTAATTAAAATTCCCTCTTTTAAAAACAGCATCCATTTCTCTTTGAAGTTATATGGAAGGATAGATGCTGGCAAATAGTAAAGAAATATGTGAAGAAATAGAATGATGAATGGTTAGTGTCCTTTTCAGCTATCAGAACACAGATCTAAAAAGCTAGTGACCTGTGGAACTGACTATACAATCCAGAAATAGATCCCCTAAAATGAGATTCTAATATATAGGAAATGTAGTTTCTAATATATGGCAAAAGAATAGTTTATTTAGAAATAAAATAATATAGGTTATCCATTTGAAATATAATAAAATTGGAGCAGCATTTAAACCAGTTACAAAATCAGTTCCAGATACATCAAAACAGGAAGCAAAAACCAGTGAGGCATATTCCACGGTAGGAAATGCTAATTGCACAAAATTCATAAAAGAAAAATGAACATTTCACCATGTAGACATGAAAAGCCTTTGTGTGGCAAAACACGCCATACGTAGTGAGTAAAAAGACCAGATATTTCAAAAGGTGCAATGACAATATCAAATAAATGTGCTATATTTATAATAAAAGTGATAATCTATAATCTGTACATAGATATACAAGCCAATGAAAAGATGGGCAAATCACAGAGGAGCAACTGGTTAAGAAACATAAATAGATGCATAAAGTCACTAGAATTTAAAAAAATGGAATTGAAATTAATGAGATATTTCTTTATATCTTCTAGTTTAGAAAAAAAGTTTAAAATGAATGTAGTTAATAATGTAGGGGAAAATGCACTATCATATACCCTTAATAGAAACTACAATTTTATACTTCTTTATGAAGGTATTCTTGCAAAATTTTTTAAGAAAAAACAATGCTTATTTCTTTAACACAAAAATCTCACTTGTGGAAACCTATCCTTTAGAAATAAATGCCCCAGTTGAAACGGTTATATATTCAAGGATTTTTGCCTATTATGGCAAAATAACTGAAATAAAATGGATGATTAGTGATGAGAAGTAATTAAATACATTGTATATTACATATCCACCATGGAATAATATATAACTATTAACAAGAATGAATTAGGACTCAACAAGTAAACAGACTGGGCATGGGGGTAGGTCAGAATTTGCAAAATCTTATAACGAAAAGCAAAATGCAAAACCGTGTGTAAAATATAACTCTGGTTTGAAAAGAGCAATTATGACAAAGCCTATTACAATATACCTGTGTATAATAAGTCTGTATCTACATCTTATCTAGATAATATGAACATGGGGGTAAATTAAGGAAGGATACCCACTAACTTATTAACTTGTGTTATCTGAAAGAATTGAGAATGGGATTATGCAGGTGAATGGGGAAACTGTCAAATTAGTCATAATCTCATGTGGTAATTATGTGGTTAATACCAACATATGCACATTAAAAAAATGAGAAATCGTTTTCTCAAAAAACGAAAAACAAGTGGCCAACAGGTATATAAAAAATGCTCAGCGTCGTTAATCATTAGGGAAATGGAAATCAAAACCACAATGAGATATCATTCTCACCCCTTAAAATGGCTATTATCAAAAAGACAAAAAATTACAAATGCTGGCAAGGATGTGAAGAAAAGGGAACTCTTATACACTGTTAGTGGGAATATAAATTAGTACAGATATTATGAAAAACAACATGGAGATTTCTCAAAAAACTAAAAATAGGACTAATTTGTTGAGAGTTGTTATCATAAAGGCACATTGAATTTTCTCAAGTGCTTTTTTTCTTTTTTACATCTATTGAGATAAACCTATGGCTTTTGTCCTTCATTCTGTTCATATGATGTACACATTTCTTGATTTGCATATGTTAAAACCATTCTTACATCCCTGGGATAAACAGCAGTTCACCATGATGCATTAAATTTTTGGTATGTTGTTGGACTTAGTTTCCTAGCATTTCATTGAGGATTTTTGCATCTATGTTTGTCAGAAATATTGGCCTGTAGTTTTCTGTTATTGTTGTGTCCCTACCTGGTTTTGGTATCAGGATACTACTGACAAGGTAAATAAGTTATACAGAATTCCCTCCTATTCAATTTTCTGGAAAGGTTTAAGAAAAATTGGTGTTAGTTCTTTAAAATTTTGGGAGGATTCAGCATTAAAGCTATTCAGTCCTGGGCTTTTCTCTGTTGAAATATTTTTTATTACTGATTCCATCTTGTTACTCATTATTAGTCTGTTCAATTTTATGTTTCTTCCTGGTTCAATCCTGGTAGGCTATATGTGTCTAGGAGTTTTTCCATTTGCTCTAGGTTTTTGAATTTGTTAACATATGATTATCCATAATAGATTCCAGTAATCCGTTTTATTTCTGTAGGATCAGTAATGATGTCTCCTTTTTTTAATTTCTAATTTCATTTATTTGAGTCTTTTCTCTTTTTTCTTTGTAATTTTAATAGTAATTTGTCAATTTTGTCCTTTTCAAAAAATAATTTATTTTATTGATTCTTTGTACTATTTTATAGTCTCCACTTCACTTAGTTCTGCTCTAATTTTTTATATTTCTTTTTATCTCCTAAACTTTGGATTGGATTATTCTTGCTTTTATCGTTCCTTGAGGTGCATTGTTAGATTATTTAATTGAAATCCTTCTAATTTTTAACATAGGCCATTATTGCTATAAAATTCCCTCTCAGCACTACTTTTGCTTTATATTATAGGTTTGGGTATATTGTGTTTCCTTTTCCTTTTCATTTTCTTCAAGAATTTTAAAAATTTCTTTCTTTTTTTTTTTTTTTTTTTGAGATGGAGTCTTGCTCCTTCATCCAAGCTGGAGTGCAGTGGTGCGGTCTCAGCTCACTGCAACCTCCGCCACCTTGGTTCAAGTGATTCTCCTGCCTCAGCCTCCAGAATAGCTGGGGTTACAGGTGCACATCACCATGCCTGATAAAATTTATTTCTTAATTTCTTCATTGACCCTTTTGTCATTCAGGAGCATATTGTTTAATTTCCATGTATTTGTACAGTTTCTAAAATTTGTCTAGCTATGATTTCTAGTTCTAGTCTATGTAGTCTGAGAATATATTTCATGTAATTTCTATTTTAAAAAATTGTTGAGACTTATTTTGTGGCCTAATGTATGATCTATCCTGGAGAATGTTCCATGTGCTTTCGAGAAGAATGTGTATTCTGTAGCTGTTGGATGAAATGTGTTAATATATGTTAGGTCCATTTGGCCTATAGTTTAGATTAGGTCCAATATTTCTTTGTTGATTTTCTGTTTACATTGTCTGTCCAATGCTAAATACAGGATGTTGTAGTCCACAACTATTATTGTATTAGAAACAATTTCTCTCTTTAGCTTTAACAATACATGCTTATATACCTGGGTGTTCTAGTTTTAAGTGCATATATATTTACCATTATTAAATTATCTTGCTGAATTGACTCTTCTATCTATATAATGACTTATTTTGTCTTTTTTTGTATTTTTAGACTTAAATTTTGTTATATCTAAGTATAGCTATTCTCAGATGCTTTTCATTTCCGTTTTTGTGCATTTTTTTTTACATTCCTCCACTTTTAGTCTATGTGTATCTTTACAGATGAAATGAGGTTTTCAGGGCAGCATGTAATTAGGTCTTGTTTTTTTGCTTAATCCATTCAGCCAGTCCATAATTTTTAATTGTGGAATTTAAATTGTTTACGTTCAAGTTTGTTATAGATAGGTAAAAACTTCTGTCATTTTGATATCTTTTTCTTTTTTTGGTTTTTAATATGTAATTCTTTTATTTTGTAAAGGTAACAAAATATACGGAACAAAATTTTCCCTTTTTAAAACTAATGTTACAAATGTTACAAATCCATATTATCACTTGTATAATATTATAATATATATAATACTATATAACTGATCATTAATTAGGTGTATGAGTCCAACAATGTATTCTTCTAACTGTTAAGCAAAAAACAAAATAAATTTTTTTTTCTTCAAATTTATCCGAGTGTCCTCGTACGCCGCTCACGCTGGTGACCACTGCGATCTCTGCCAGCTGCGTGGAGTGACGGAAGGAGAGAATCATTGTGTGTGTGCAAGAGTGCTTCAGACTCAATTTCCAAACTTTTTACCCCTAAAAGCACATAAATATACAAAGATGGATCCTTCATATAAATTAAAAACAAGAAATCAATCAATTTGAGCTCATTTCAAATACAGAAAAAGTATAGCACAGGTGTAAGCCATGGCATGGTTTCCTTTAATGATACTGAATCTCGTATCACACTGTCCAGCATGAAGTTTGTTACTCAGACTTTACAGGCATTTTCCTTATTTCAATCAGTCCGGGTCCCAGCACAACACAGGAGGTGGATTCGAGATAATCGCCAGAATCTGGCCTGCTTGGCACCATGATACAATCAGGGAAAACAAACCAAGGCGCCTCCACTGGTTCTCAGACCAGGACGTTTCTCATGGGTAACTGCTTTTTAAAGGAACTGAGATCTGATGAGGAGGTTCCTAGACTTGGAGCACTAAAGACACAAGCGTGAGGAGGCTGGAGGTGAGGGCGGCAGCACCCGCTGCAGAGCGTCTCTCTGCCCTCGGTCCTGGCCTGGCCATTACATGGCCCCGAACTGGTCGATGCGCTGCTTGGTGTTGCCCTGCCGGATCTGCCGCAGCGTCTTGTACTTGTCCCCACCTTGCCCCATGTTCTCATTGTGGATGATGTAATTATGAGTCCTCTTATTCTCATCTCGGGCCTGGGACAGCTCGCCGCTCAGCGTCAGCAGGGCCCGCTGCACGCGCTCGTTCTTCTCCGCTTCGGTGATGTGTTTCTCTTCATTGCGGTTATCCCGGATGCCCTCGCTAGACAGCTCCGCTCTGTAGCCCGTGGGCTCAGAGCCCTCGTCCTGCAAACTGTCTTGGACATGGTAGCTCACCGGCTTCTATACGAGGGGCAGTGGGGGCGGGGGGTGCCATAATCACCAGGTGCAGCTCCTCCTTGGTCTTCACCAGGTCATCCTGGTCTTCTCAGGCTCTGTGCTGCCACTCTTCAACTTCATCCTCCTTGCGCCTCAGTGCCTCTTCCAGGAGTGCGATCTTGGTTGTGTACTCCGCAAGCTCCGCAGCCAGCTGCTCCTGGCTCTTCACTGATCCACCACCTGTCTCTCCAGCTCCTCCTTAGTTAATGGGTACAAACATATAGTTAAATAGAAGAAATAAGTTACAATGTTTGAGATCAGAGTACGGTGGCTATAGTTAATAATAATGCTTTATTTCCAAAGAGCTAGGAGAGAGAACTTGAAATGTTCTCAACACAGAAATAATAAACACTTGAGGTGATAGATAACCTAAATATCCTGACGATTATTACACATTCTATGCAATTAACAAAATATTTCATGTACCCCATAAAATGTGGAAATATTATTCATTAATTTAAAAACATATATATGAAATATTAAATATAGATCCAGATTTTTCTCAATTTCTTATATTGGTCTGGTTTCTCATAATCCCTTGTAGGTTGTTTTTTGCCACCTGGTTTTTCATTTCTTGATCAAAAGTACTTCCTACTTAGCATCTGGAGACAATCACATATATTTCTGTGCTATTTACTTTGAAATATTCTGGTATAACAAACTTTGTTCCTTTTTCATCTCAGTGTAGAAAGTCAATTACTACTATCCATTGAAAAAAATCTATATATTCATTTTTTGAGCTAAAAATATAAAACTTCTTTCATACAAGTAAATTTTAGATTTGTGTAAGTATCTGCTATGGTTTGGACATTTGACTTTCCAAGCCTCATATAGAAATTTGATCCCCGGTGTTGGGAGTGGGGCCTAGTAGGAGGTGTTTGGGTTATAGGAGTGGATCCCTCATGAATAGATTAATATCTTTTCTGGGAGGTAGAGTGTTGAGTGAATTTTTTGCTCAGCTAGTTCCTGTGAGAGCTGGTTGTTTAAGAGTCTAGCACTTTTCTCTCTGTCTCTCTGCTTTTATCTTGTGATCTCTGCACATGCTGGTTCCTCTTGGCCTTCCAGCATGAGTGAGAGCAGCCTGAAGCCCTCACTGGAAGCAGACGTTAGTGCCATTCTTCTTTTACAGCCTGCAGGACTGTGAGTCGAATAAATATATTTTCTTTATAAATTACCCAGCCTCAAGTATTCATTTACAGCAACACAAATGGACCAAGACAGTACCACATACTTGCATTTTATAATTCCCACTTATAGCTATTTTTCTTGCTTCATCACATGGGAAAATTTTAATACTATACGGGTCTTAGAATGTGTAGATTAAAACTGTGAGGATATTCAGCTAAAATGCAAAGAATTCTCATATTCATTAAGGCAATGTCAGTATAAATGGGCTTAAATATTACTTTAAATGATTTCAATGCTTTTTGAGCATATTGGACATCTAGAAAACAAAAGACCAGACTCATTTTGTGAGCAACCATGTTCCCCCAAATTCCAGGATACTAAAAAGAGAAAAAACAGTTTGTCCAGAGCTGTACTGCACTAATATAAAGCAATGTATTTAGCCAGAATCCTGATAAAGTAATGTGAATGATGTTATACTTAAATATTTTGTAGGGAAAAGAAAAATATGAATTGCTATTTTAATACATAATGCTAGAATTCATCATAGGCAGGAAATCATTTTATAACTGGAAATAAATTTGTAAGTACTACTGAATGTGAGCTTAAACTCTGATATACAGAAGATGATGAAAACACAAAGAGATAGCTGAATTCTCTATATAGTTAATCAATAAAAATGTACAGGAGTGAGGAGAGAAGGGAGTAAAGAGGTGGATGGAAAATCACGGAGAGAGTTGACAATAAACCCATAGCAAGAGCCTGACACTTTGGAAAAAGTTAACCAGTAAAAAATTCCAAATGGTGACAAAATCAAAGGGCATATGTAAACAGCCTTTAATAAAAGTCACATTTTACATCCCAGGGTCACAACTGTTAGCTATGTGACATCTGCTGTAACTGTGTGCTTTAGTTTCTTCATGTGAAGATATGTGTGTGGGATGGGGCTGAAAAGTTTGAAGTTAATACTTCCTGGCTTCCTCACAGAATGGTGTTTGAAATTTCCCAACCAAATTTGTGAAGGGAGGGACCACCTTTGTACGAGAACTCCAATCGATTTTTATCAGCATAAAATAGAATTCCTGCATTCTTAACTGTAAAAATGGGATTCACATAACATTTAGGAAAATTTCAATACTTCAGGATATGTCTGAAACAGTTTTTAAATTTTACATGTTTTAATTCATATTATTTCTCAATATTGAATTTAACATTCTTAATTTGGTGGCAATTTAAATGTTTAAAAATCTGCCATATTTTCTATATGCATTAGAAATAATTTGAAAATTTGCAAGGAGATTTTAATAAGGTATATTACATGATAATAAACAATAAATTTAGGGATGTATTCACAGTAATGTTCTAATTGTCTGAGTATCCTCAAATTCACTCTGAAACAAAAAGAAACTACAGAATGTATCTGAGTAACCAAAAGAGATTTTATGAAGCCCATGCCTTGAAATCTCATGTCCTTTCCTCATTGAAGGGCCCTCAAGACACCTATCAAGGACTATTAACTTTAATTATGTACACATCTAATAAGCTTGATTATTGGCATTACCTTCCCAGAGCAAATATAACCATTTTAAAGGAAACTGTAAAGAGCAGGCTCAAGAGCTTGGAAACCATAGCTGGCTGGATCCATTCAGTGTAAAGCACTGTATCTCCTCCATTCATCTGCACCTCTGCTTCAAAGCCCCATAGGGCAGAACTACTTTCTTAAAATATAACAAATTCGGCCAGGCCTGGGGGCTTATGCCTGTAATCCCAGCACTTTGGGAAGCCAAGGCGGGTGGATCATCTGAGGTCAGGAGTTCGAGACCAGCCTGGCCAACAGGGTGAAACCCCGCCGCTACTAAAAATACAAAAATTAGCTGCTCATGGTGACTGGCGCCGGTTAGCTGGGAGGCTGAGGCAGGAGAATCGCTTGAACCTGGGAGGTGGAGGTTGCAGTGAGCGAAGATTGCATCATTGCACTCCAGCCTAGGTGACAAGGCAAGGCTCCATCTCAAAATAAATAAATTAAATAAATAAATAAATAAATAATTTTTAAAAGTAACAAATTCAATTATTTAAATACTCTGTGGAGATCGCAACTAATGAAATATAAGGAAATAATCACTGTGACACTGTAATTTTCCATGTTAATTCTCCAAATAGATTTATGCAATTTATTATTCCAGCCCCAGCTACTTATTAGAATTGTTCCTATTTAGGTTCTTAAGAGATGAAAGAATGGTTGGTGCTAAATTAAAAATAAACGTTCTATACTTTTTTTGTTTGTTTGTTTTTTAAGAGACGGGTCTTGGTCTGTTGTCCAGGCTGGAGTGCAGTGACGTGATTATAGCGATTATAGCTCACTGCAGCCTGGAACTCCTGGGCTCAAAAGATCCTCCCATTCAGCTGCCTGATTTAGTTTATACACACAAGTTAGGTTGAGAAAGAAGAAAAGTGGCTTTACAGTGCAGAACTTTTGGTTAAGTGTTTGTTATTTTTTGAATTCTTGCTTAATGTGACAACGAGTTTTTTCCCCTATGTTCATAGGTTATAATTAGACTTAACTGGTTTTTCCATCCTTTTCTGAATGTTATAATAAAAAAAAATCTATCTAGAAACATGCTGAAACTATTTTAGTTTGAATACGTGATAGAAACTCTATATCTTTTTCATATTATTTTTTATATCTATCTTACTTTTCCTGAACTCCAGTCCAATGGATGGCAATTTCCACTTGACTCTCCGTCATAGTAATCTTAACATTTCCAAATTTTAACTGACCAATCCATCCAACTCACCCCCTTCTTCCAGTGACTCATGATATTTTCCCAGTCTCTGTCAACATTTTCCAGTTTATCTAAATTTTTGGAGCCACTGTCACTCATCCCAGTTTCCCTCGGTGTCTCCCTCTATATCTAATCAGTCATTATACTCTTTAGTAATTTTTTAGGGAAACTTAAACAATTTTTTCGCCCCACTGCCTTTGTTGTAGTTTTAGCTGCTCACAATTGGAAGGTTTTTATTGACTCAACCCCATACTAGCTCATTCAGACTGCAACTAGGCATCTCTCCTGGACTCTGCTGCCATTTTATTTTGTAAGCACTTCTTAAATAAAGTGAGATCTCAAAAGCTTCCAATGTTCTAAGTCACCTATGTGGCCTCTTGTGTTCTCCATAGTCAAATCATACCTTAACATAGGATCTTATTTTATCTCTCTCTTATAAAATATGAAAACTCACCTTAGCAGTTTCAATTTTACACAGGTTCCTTCTGTCCTGAGTAGCCATTCTTCTTGAACTGTATCTGTTGGAACCACAGTTCTAATACATTTTTTTCAAGGCTTGGCTCACAACTAAAGCCTTCTACATGATTCTGTGGCCATTGTACCACATTACTCATCCTTTCCTACTCTGAACTTCTGTAGAACTAACTGCTTTATCACATACGTCACATTTTCTTTGAAAGGCCTTATTTTTATAGTTCAGGATACAATACAAACTACTTGAGGCAGGGACATGCCTAAATGAATATGACAATAATACCAATCATATAACACTTATTGAGCTCTTATTATATTTGTCCTAAGAATATATATTATCTATTTATGTCTTACAAAACTCAGTAAGATGTTATAATTATTACCATTTCATAGATGAAGAGATGAGACACAAAGAGGTTTAGTAGTGTTTACAAGGTAATACAAACACTGAGTGGCAGAAGCTACATTTAAATACAAGGTGTCTGACTTCTTTGCTTCTGCTCTAAACTATGACCTTAGGTTATGTTCTTATCTCCCATGTGCACAAAACAGATCTCAACATAAAAGACATGTTCCTCAAAATAGTTTTATAAAATGAATCAAAATCTGGAAAGAATCAATAGTCAGTATTCTTTACATGTCTTTTATATTAAACTGCCTCTCACAATGAAACACCTTAAAATATCTGGGATTTGCCACTAACTTTGCTTCTTCACATCCTTACTCTTCCTTTCAGCTATATGAATAATTTTTCAATAGCCCAAACGATTTTCTTACTATACATTTAATGAAACCAGTAAAGCTAAAACATTCTGAGTGCTCAGCAGTGACAGTGTCAGTAAGCAATTAATCTCCAACAGTTCACCTACCATGTTATGACTATTGGAGCTCAATTCAGCTCCTCGCATGACCCTACTTCCTAATTCTCTCCTGGAAAAGAAAGTCTGTAAGCCAAAAACAGAGCATCAAGAAAATAGTAAGAAAAACTGATGGAGATAGAAACGAGTTTTTCATCTATAAAAAAAGGATGAGCATATTTTTCATAGAAAAAACCAATTCTGATCTTGTAACTTTTTTGATTGGTTACTTTTCAGCTTGCCTCATTTTCACCCTCTGCAAAATAGGTTTAACAGTATTTGTGCATTAGAGGACATTGTAGGACTTAATTAAAGCTTATAAAACATAGAGGGAACCTTTCTGTAATTACCTTGCCACTCACCTTTGTCATTTATCTTTCCTCAAGGGGGTCGTTTCTTTTATCCATTGTAATACAGAAGAAAACCACAGAACATCATGTGATGCCATTGTAGAAAAGGATTTTATGCAGCTGTAAATAAGTAGCAACATAAGGCAATACTTGGAAAGATAAAATTCCAGCATATATAAGCTGCAAAAATAAAGCATCAGACTTTGTCACTGTGTCAGCTTCTACTCTTAGCCGACTGGAGTCTATTCTCAAATGAACACTGCCAGAGTGATCCTTTAAAAATATAAGACCAATACTCTCATTCTTCTCAAACTCCTCATAGTTTCCCATCTTTGTGAGAATAAAAGCCAACGAATTTACAAGAAGTCACCTACAAGAATTTTCATTCTTTGGCCCTCTCTTTTTTCTCTAACCTCACATCCTATTCCCTCCCAAATCATACTGGCTTCCTTGCCAGGCATGTGCCTGTCTCATGGATTCTGCCTGGCTCCTTTTCTAAATCTCAAGTGCTCTTTAGACAAATCTCTGCATGATTCATTTATTTATTATTATTATTATTTTCATCATCATCATCATCATCATTATTTTGAGCCAGAGTCTCGCTCTGTCTCCCCGGCTGGAGTGCAGTGGCGCATCTCCGCTTACTGCAAGCCCTGCCTCCCGGATTCACGCCATTCCCCTGCCTCAGCCTCCCACGTAGCTGGGACTACAGGCACCCGCCACCACGCCCAGCTAATTTTTTGTATTTTTTTTTAGTAGAGACGGGGTTTCAAGGTGTTAGCTAGGATGGTCTAGATCTCCTGATCTCGTGATCCGCCTGCCTTGGCCTCCCAAAGTGCTGGGATTACAGGCGTGAGTCACCACACCTGGCCGATGCATTTATTCTATCTCTCCTTCAGATTTTCACACTAATGGCACTTTGTTAGTGAGGTCTCTTTTGAGCATCCTATTGACAATGGTACCCTGACCTTTGCCCTCTTTAATGTTCTTCCCTGCTAGAATTTTTCCATAATCTTTATCACCATATGACAGGCTATAGATTTAAATTGTTTGTTGATTGCTTGTTTCTCCTTACTAGTTTGTACGCTCCATGTGCATAGGAATATTGAGTTGTTTTATTTACAGATTTATTCTCAGTACCTGGAAAACTGCTGTCACAAAGTTGGTTTACTGAGGTAAATATTTATTGAATAAATAAATGAGCTAAAAAAAATTCAAATCTGAAAATGAAAATGAGGCAGTATGAAACATAGTCAAGCAACAATTTTCTACAAGAGTAAAAATGTCCAGGTGTATTTACAGATAACATTTTTCATTTTACATGTATTATGTGTTGCTATATTAAAAGTCATATGATTAAGCTATTAAATAATTTAATATTTATTCATAATATTTGGATATTTGAGCTCTTTATTACTAGAAATATATATTAGAAGTTCTACCTTTGTTTAGAGTTCCTTTTCTCTTACTTTGTTAAAAGGACACTCATTCCCTAGTGTCACATAAAACTTTTTTGTCAGATTTTTTCTTAAGGTAACATACTCTTTGGTAAAAGTCAATTACTTATCAAAACTAATCTGCTGTCTATTGTTTTTATTGGATATCTGTGGCCAGGGAGCAGAAGGAAAAGGATATTTTATTTCCCCTTTTATTCGTTTTTCAATTTACAACCATCTGGCATAAACCTGAAACTTGTGGCAGGGGTCCCATTAAAAAGAGGAATACAAAAACATGAGCCAGGGTTATTTTCGTAACTGAAGATTGAGACTATATTCACATATTTATGGCGCCTTTGTTGAAAGATCTAGTATGATTACATATTTCAGAAATCTGACTTTAGGCTTTGTCATGACTTACAAAATGAGGCAGACATTTGTGACTTGTCCATAAGAATAGATTATTAAATGGGGACTCTATTACTTAATAATTAAGGGTATAGGTATGAAATTTAAAACTTGGATTTTTTTTTCTGCCACATTCTATCTAGCTGTGTGCCTATAGGCACTTTAGGATATTCTTATATAAATGGGGATCATAAGGCCACTTCCTCAAAGGGTTGATTTGCTGATTACATGAGAATAATGCATGTAAAACAATTAGCACTGTTCATGGATCTTCTAATTTTTCCATAAATGTGTGCTATTATTACTTGAGGAGAAAACATAGTTTTAGTCATAGAGTGAGGTCACAGAGCTATAAATACTTTGAATTACATGCTCATTCTGCGTGTGGATCCAAATGTTAATACTGAAAGGAATTTTAAGCAGTAAATAGGTTGCATTTTGACTTAAAATGTTAAAAGGCTGGCATGGTGGCTCACACCTGTAACTCCAGCACTTTGGGAGGCTGAGACGGGTGGATCACCTGAGATCAGGAGTTTGAGACTAGCCTGGCCAACATGGTGAAACCCCATCTCTAGTAAAAATACAACTAAATAAATAAATAAATAAAAATAGCAGGGTATGGTGGCGGGCGCCTGTAGTCCCAGATACTCCAGAGGCTGAGGCAGGAGAATGGCTTGAACCTGGGAGGCGGAGGTTGCAGTGAGCTGAGATTGCGCCATTGCACTCCAGCCTGGGCTACAGAGGAAGACTCTCACTCAAAAAAAAAAAAAAAAAGAAAAAAGAAAAAAGATAAAAGAAAAGAAAATTTAAAAGGCTGTAAGTAAATGCCATATACTAAAAACCAGAAAAAGCAGAATAATCTACAAAATTATACTTTTGAGCTTATCTGAGAGCTAAGCTTGCAGGGAGGCCAGAGGGACTGAATTTCAGAGAGTACCAAACACCTCTGAGGAGAAATGGAGCCACATAAAATGTTTCAACTTTGGTAGAGAATATAAAAAGAGGTAGAAACCATCAAAGCAAAAAGAAAAAAAGCCTGTACTTTTACCAAATTATTAAAAGCCAAGTGTGAACTATTGTGCCAGTTTAAAAACCCTACGGACACCTAGGCAAAAAGGAATATCTATTCTGAGGATTAATAACCTGCGGATATGTTAATTTATAGAATAAAGGAAAATTAAGGTGGAAATAGAATTAAGGTCGCTAAGCAGCGGACCTCAAAATGGGAAAATAATCCAGATTATTTGTGTGGACTTGATGTAAGAATAAAGTTGAATATGGAAGGAGAGGGGCCAGAGTCAGAAAGACATTTGAAGATGCAACACTGGGGGCTTGAAGTTGCAGAAAGAAGCTATCGTATTAGGATTACAAGTGATATCTCAAAGCTGGAAAAAGCAAAGCAATTAGTTATTTCCCACAGACTCCATAAAGTTCATTAATCTTGCCACTACATGAATTTTCATCCAGTGAAACTTCTAAAACATAGAACACTTAAGACAATAACTTTGTGCTCTTTAAAGTCAGTTTACGTGTTCGGTAATTTGTTACAGTATCAATAGACAACTGATACAAATATTAAGACTGATGATGCCACACGTGTACCAAGAGGACAGAAATAGGCTAATTCCTTAATTGTTATTATTATTATTTGGAGATGGGGCCTTGCTATTTTACCTAGGCTGATCTGAAATTCCTGAGCTCAAGCGATCTTCCCGCCTCAGCTCTCATAATGAGGCTTTCTGGGAAAATCAACACAAACTTCTAGAGCAAGAAGTGATTGGCTTTGGTGTTTTATTCTGATTATGCGGTGGAGCTAGGGTTTTCCTGCATGAGCTGGGGCTTCCTTGATTTGAGCTTCCTGCCCACAACAAATAAGGGAGTTGATCACCTGAAATTTCTTTTTTATCTTTTCTTTTCTTTTTTTTTTTCTTTTCTTTTCTTTTTGAAACCGAGTCTTGCTCTGTCGCCCAGGCTGGAGTGCAGTGGCGCAATCTCGGCTCACTGCAAGCTCCGCCTCCCCGGTTCAGGCCATTCTCCTGCCTCAACCTCCCGAGTAGCTGGGACTACAGGCGCCCGCCACCACGCCTGGCTAATTTTTTGTCTTTTTAATAGAGACAGGGTTTTACCGTGTTAGCCAGGATGATCTCGATCTCCTGACCTTGTGATCTGCCCACCTCGGCCTCCCAAAGTGCTGAGATTCCAGGCTGTGAGCCACCGCACCCACCCGAGCACCTGAAATTTCTTATCAGCTTTCATAGAAGTGAGGCACAACGCAAAGTGATATGTGTTGGGCATGAAAGCTGTCCAAAAGGATCAAAATAAAATCAAACTTTCTATTACAGTTTACAGGTGTCACCAAATTAGAAACTTCCATTCTTCAAAACACACCGTTAAGAAAATGTAAACACAAGCCACAGAATTGAAGAAAATTGTCAGTAGCACTGTGCCCAGAATATTAAAAAGTGCTCTTAGGACTCAATAATAGTAAGAAAACCATATACAAAATATAGACAAGATTTGAAGTAGTATGTCAATAAAGAATATATACCAATAATAAACACATGAAAAGATTTCAACATTTCTCATCAGCGAAATGCAAATTAAAAACATGATGTGATACCCATGTATATCCATCAGAATGGGTAAAATTTAAGAAAAAAAAAGTGATAGATCGAAGTCTTGGTTACATGGATCAAATGAAACTCATACTTGCTGGTAGAAATGCAAGATTATGCAGACACTATGGAAAACAGTTTGAAAGTTTCTTGAGGGAGTAGAACACCTGAAATGCATTAGAGTACCTAATTGTAAAGTTACATAAACAATTATCATATGATCTTGTTATGTCACTTCTAGGTTTTTACTCAAAATAAATGCAAATGTAGGACTACACAAAGACCTGTAAACAAATATTTATAACAGATTTATTCATAATAGCCAAACACTAAGAAAAAACCAGTTTCCCTCAATCTGGAAGTGGGTAAAGAAATTTTAGTATATCCATACAATAAGATACTTCTGAACAATTAAATGGAATGAACTACTGATGTATGCAACAAAATGGCAACTCTAAAGCAGTATGTTAGGGAAGCCAGATGTAAAACACTAAATATAGTCTTATTTCATTTACATGATACTCTAGAAATGGTAAAACCAAAGGAAAAGAAAATAAATACATTTTTGCCAAGGACTGGGGTGAGGTAAAGTAATGGACTAAAAAGGAACTGATGGCAAAAATCCAGAAGACAGAAGTCTTCTATGTTCTGATGGTACTAGTTCTCTTACATTACTATTCATATTTATCAAAACTCATTCAACTTTTTTATTTTAAAACAGCACATTTTTAATATAAATTATACCTCTGCATATAGGTGGAACAAAATGTTGATAAATTTTGAAAGTGTGCATATGTGTGCTCATTGTTCCATTCTTTCAATTTGTTTTTTTTTTTTTTCGGGGGGGTTGGGAATTATTACAATACACATCATAGACAAATGAAAATAGTTAATTATTTTACTTTGTATGAGAGAGAAGATTTATCCCATATAAGATTCATTTCAAGATGTGTCCCAACATAGGTTGTTTGAAGACTTTAAGATTTACAAAAATATTTTTGCGTGTCTACAGCAAAGATGGCGAAGGACTAAGCTATAATAAGTGATAATGGAGGGCCCCTTAGTAGAAAAGACTTGCACTCAATTCTCAACCAATTTAATTTATCAAGTTCTTAGGCTATGAACCATATTTCCCCTACCACTAAAGTGAGAAAAACTATGTTAACTAGTAGGGTTAACCACATTAAATTAATCAACCTGTGTAAAGTGACTCTCATATAATAGTGTCTATGATGTGGTCCACTAAATTTTCTGTAAAATTTTTCAGTTCTTTAAGTCACCGTATCAGTGATGCCTTACTACCATAGAACATAAATAATGTTGTCTCTTTTTGCGTAAGTAATCTATGAGGTGTCTATTCAGGTAATACAGAAAGTCTTCTTGTATCTAAATATTCTATGCACTGCTACATGCTATACAGCATTGCCATCATTTCTTCTTTAAAATATAATATTGAAAGGTCCTGTAAAAATAAGTATGCATTATGTAGCATAAACAAAACATAAATTCATGATAAAATAGTGTGTAAATTAGTTGGAAACAGAGAGCAGAGTTAATAATTCTTTACATTTATTAAAATATTCAAACACACATTAGGTTCTCTAATACAAATCCATGTTAAATGCAAAATCTTGGAGAAGTTTGTATTACTTTTATTCTTTTTTTTTTGTTTATTTCAGGGTGGAAGAGGAGAATAATTTTTATTGATACTTTTCTATATTTTCCAGGTTTTTTAAAAAATATACTTTAAGTTCTAGAATACATGGGCAGAACATGCAGGTTTGTTACATAGGTTTACACGTGCCATAGTGGTTTGCTGCACCCATCAACCCGTCATCTACATTAGGTATTTCTCCTAATGCTATTCCTCCTCTAGACCCCACCCCACCAACAGGCCCTGGTGTGTGATGTTTCCCTCCCTGTGTCCATGTATTCTCATTGTTCAACTCCCACTTATGAGTGAGAACATGTGGTATTTGCTTATCTGTTCTTCTGTTAGTTTGCTCAGAATGATCGTTTCCAGCTTCATTCATGTCCCTGCAAAGGACATGAATTCATCCTTTTTTATGGATGTATGGTATTCCATATATGTGTATATGTGCCACATTTTCTTAATCCAGTCTATCACTGATGGGCATTTGGGTTGGTTCCAAGTCTTTGCTACTGTGAATAGTGCTGCAATAAACATAAGTGTGCATTTGTCTCTATAGTAGAATGATTTGTAATTCTTTGGGTATATACCTAGTAATGGGATTTCTGGGTCAAATGGTATTTCTGGTTCTGGATCCTTGAGGAATCACCACACTGTCTTCCACAATGCTTGAACTAATTTACACTCCCACCAACCGTGTAAAAGTGCTTCTATTTCTGCACATCCTCTCCAGCATCTGTTGTTTTCTGACTTTCTAATAATCACCATTCTAACTGGCGTGAGATAGTGTCTCATTGTGGTTTTGATTTACATTTCTGTAATGACCAGTGATGAAGAAGTTTTTTCATATGTTTGTTGGCTGCATAAATGCCTTCTTTTGAAAAGTGTTCATGTGCTTCACCCACTTTTTGATGGAGTTGTTTGTTTTTTTCTTGTAAATTTGTTTAAGTTCCTTGTAGATTCTGGATATTAACCCTTTGTCAGATGGATAGATTGCAAAAATTTTCTCCCATTCTATAGGTTGCCTGTTCACTCTGATGATAGATTCTTTTGCTGTGCAGAAGCTCTTTAGTTTAATTAGAACCCATTTGTCAATCCTGGCTTTGTTGCCATTGCTTTTGGTGTTTTAGTCATGAAGTCCTTGCCCATGCCTATGTCCTGAATGGTATTGCCTAGGTTTTCTTCTAGGGTTTTGATGGTTTTAGGTTTTATGTTTAAGTCTTTAACTCATCTTGAGTTAATTTTTGTATAAGGGGTAAGGAAGGGGTCCAGTTTCAGTTTTCTGCATATGGCTAGCCAGTATTCCCAACACAATTTATTAAATAGGGAATCCTTTCCCCATTGCTTGTTTTTGTCAGGTTTGTCAAAGATCAGATGGTTGTAGATGTGTGGCCTTATTTCTGAGGGCTCTGTTCTGTTCCGTTGGTCCATATATCTGTTTTGGTACCAGTACCATGCTGTTTTGGTTACTGTAGCCTTGTAGTATAGTTTGAAGTCAGGTAGCATGATGCCTCCAGCTTTGTTTTTTTTACTTAGGATTGTCTTGGCTATATGAGCTCTTTTTTGGTTCCATATGAAATTTAAAGTAGTTTTATTCTAACTCTGTGAAGAAAGTCAATGGTAGCTTGATGGGGTTTGCACTGAATCTATAAATTACTTTGGGCAGTATGGCCATTTTCACGATATTGATTTTTACTATCCATGAGCATGGAATGTTTTTACATTTTTTTTATGTCCTCTCTTATTTCCTTGAGCAGTGGTTTGTAGTTCTCCTTGAAGAGGTCCTTCATATCCTTTGTAAGTTGTATTCCTAGGTATTTTATTTTCTTTGTAGCAATTGTGAATGGGAATTCACTCATGATTTGGTTCTCTGTTTGTCTATTATGGGCGTATAGAAATGCTTGTGAATTTTGCACATTGATTTTGTATCCTGAGGCTTTGCTGAAGTTGCTTATCAGCTTAAGGAGATTTGGGGCTGAGACAATGGGGTATTCTAAATAGACAATCATGTTGTCTGCAAACAGAGACAATTTGACGTCCTCTCTTCCTGTTTGAATACCCTTTATTTCTTTCTCTTGCCTTATTGCCCTTGCCAGAACTTCCAATCCTATGTCAAATAGGAGTGGTGAGAGAGGACATCCTTGTTTTGTGCCAGATTTCAAAGGGAATGCTTCCAGCTTTTGCCCATTCAGTATAATATTTGCTGTGTGTTTGTCATAAATAGCTCTGATTATTTTGAGATATGTTCCATCAATACCTAGTTTATTGAGGGTTTTTAGCATGAAGTGGTGTTGAATTTTGTTGAAGGCCCTTTCTGCATCTATTGAGATAATAGCATGTTTTTTGTCATTGGTTCTGTTTATATAATGGATTATATTTATTGTTTTGTGCATGTCAAATCAGCCTTGCATTCCAGTGATGAAGCTGACTAGATTGTGGTGGATAAGCTTTTTGATGTGCTTTTTGATGTGGTGGATAAGCTTTTCATCAGTTTGTCAGTATTTTACTGAAGATTTTTGCATCGATGTTCATCAGGGATATTGGCCTGAAATTGTCTTTTTGTTGTTGTGTCTCTGCCAGGTTTTGGTATCAAGATGATGCTGGCTTCATACAGTGATTTAGAGAGGACTCCCTCTTTTATTATTGTTTGGAATAGTTTCAGAAGTAATGGTACCAGCTCCTCTTTGTACCTGTGGGAGAATTCGACTGTGAATCTGTCTGATCATGGGCTTTTTTTTAATTGTTAGGCTATAATTACTGCCTCAATTTCAGAACTTGTTATTGGTCTATTCACGGATTTGACTTCTTCCTGTTTTACTCTTGGGAGGGTGTATGTGTCCAGGAATTTATCCATTTCTTCTAGATATTCTGGTTTATTTACGTAGAGGTTTTTATTGTATTCTCTGATGGTAGTTTGTATTTCTATGGGATCAATGGTGATATCCCCTTTATCATTTTTTATTGTGTCTATTCGATTCTTCTCTCTTCTTTATTAGTCTTGCTAGCAACCTATCCATTTTGTTAATCTTTTCCAAAAAAACAGCTCCTGGATTCATTGATTTTTTGAAGGGTTTTTCGTGTCTCTATCTCCTTCAGTTCTGCTCTAATTTTAGTTATTTTTTGTCTTCTGCTAGCTTTTGAACGTGTTTGCTCTTGCTTCTCTAGTTCTTTTATTTGTGATGTTAGGCTGTCGATTTTAGATATTTCCTTCTTTATCCTGTGGGCATTTAGTGCTATAAATTTCTGTATAAACACTGCTTTAGCTGTGTCCCAAAGATTCTGGTATGTTGTGCCTTTGTTCTCCTTGGTTTCAAATAACTTATTTTTTTCTGCCTTAATGTCATTATTTACCCAGTAGTCATTCAGGAGCAGGTCATTCAGTGTCCATGTAGGTGTGTGGTTTTGAATGAGTTTCTTAATCCTGAGTTTTAATTTGATTGCACTGTGATCTGAGAGACTGTTATGATTTCTATTCTTCTGCATTTGCTGAGGAGTGTTTTACTTCCAATTATGTGGTCAGTTTTATATTAAGTGCATTGTGGTGCTGAGAAGAATGTATATTCTGTTGATTTGGGGTGGAGAGTCCTGTAAATGTCTATTAAGTTTGCTTGGCCCAGTGCTGACTTCAAGTCCTGAATATCCTTGTCAATTTTCTGTCTCATTGATCTGTCTAATACTGTCAGTGGGGTGTTAAAGTCTCCACTATTATTGTGTGGGAGTCTAAGTCTCTTTGTAGGTCTCTAAGAACTTGCTTTATGAATCTGGGTCCTCCTGTATTGGGTGCGTGTATATTTAGGACAGTTAGCTCTTCTTGTTGCATTGATCACTTTACCGTCTTGTAATGCCCTTCTTTGTCTTTTCTTATCTCTGTTGGTTTAAAGTTTGTCTTATAAGAGACTAGGATTGCAACTCCTGCCTTTTTTGCTTCCCATTTGCTTGGTAAATATTCCTCCATCCGTTTATTTTGAGCTTATGTGATGTGTCTTTGCACATGAGATGGGTCTCCTGAATATAGCACACTGATGGGTTTTGATTCTTTATCCAATTTGTCAGTCTGTGTCTTTTAATTGGGGCATTTAAATTGTTTACATTTAAGAGTAATATTATTACATGTGAATTTGATCCTGTCATTATGATGCTAGCTGGTTATTTTGCCTATTAGTTGATGCAGTTTCTTCATAGTGTCAATGGTCTTTACAATTTGGCATGTCTTGCAGTGGCGGGTACCAGATTTTTTTTTTCTTTTCCATATTGAGTGCTTCCTTCAGAAGCTGTTTTAAGGCAGACCTGGTGGTGACAAAATCTCTCAGCATTTGCTTGTCTGAAAAAGATTTTATTTCTTCTTCATTTATGAAGCTTAGTTTGGCTGGATATGAAATTCTGGGTTGAAAATTCTTTTCTTTAAAAATGTTGAATATTGGCCCCACTCTCTTCTGGCTTATAAGGTTTCTGCAGAGAGATCCACTGTTAGTCTGATGGGCTTCTCTTTGTGGGTAACCCACCTTTCTCTCTGGCTGCTCTTAACATTTTTTTCATTCATTTCAACCTTGGTGAATCTGACGATTATGTGTCTTGGGGTTGCCCTTCTTCAGGAGTATCTTTGTGGTGTTCTCTGTATTTCCTGAATTTGAATGTTGGCCTGTCTTGCTAGGTTGGGGAAGTTCTCCTGAATAATATCCTAAAAAGTGTTTTCCAACTTGGTTCCATTCTCCCTGTCACTTTCAGGTACACCAATCACACATAGGTTTGGTCTTTTCACATAGTCCTGTATTTCTTGGTGGCTTTGTTCGTTCCTTTTCATTCTTTTTTCTGTAATCTTGTCTTCATGCTTTATTTAATTAAGTTGATCTCCAATCTCTGATATTCTTTCTTCCACTTGATAGATTCACCTTTGATACTTGTGTATGCTTCACAAAGTTCTCGTGCTGTGTTTTTCAGCTCCATCAGGTCATTTATGTTCTTCTCTAAACTAGTTATTCTAGTTATCAATTTCTCTAACCTTTTTTCAAGATTCTTAGCTTCCTTGCTTTGGGTTAGAACATGTTCTTTTAGCTTGAAGGAGTTTGTTATTACCCACCTCCTGAAGCCTACTTCTGTCAATTTGTCAAACTCATTCTCCATACAGTTTTAATTCCTTGCTGGTGAGGAGTTGTGATCCTTTGGAGGAGAAGAGGCGTTCTGGTATTTGGAATTTTCAGCCTTTTTTCACTGTTTTTTCCTCATCTTGTGGATTTATCTACCTTTGGTCTTTGATGTTGGTGACTTTCGGAAGGGGTTTTTGTGTGGACATCCTTTTTGTTGATGTTGATGCTATTCTTTGCTGTTTGTTAGTTTTCCTTCTAACAGCCAGGCCCCTCTGCTCCAGGTCTGTTGGAGTTTGCTGGAGGTCCACTCCAGACCCTTTTTGCTTGAGTATCCCCAGCAGAGGCTGCAGAATGGCAAAGATTGCTGCCTGTTCCTTCCTCTGGAAGCTTTGTCTCAGAGGGGCACCTGCCCGATGCCAGCTGTCACTCTCCTGTATGAGGTGTCTGTCGACCCCTGTTGGGAGGTGTCTCCCTGTCAGGAGGCATGGGGTCAGGGACCCACTTGAGGATGCAGTCTGTCCATTATTAGAGCTGTCCTGGGAGATCTGCTGCTCTTTTCAGAGTCGGCAGGCAGGAATGTTTAAGTCTGCTGAAGCTGTGCTCACAGCCGCCCCTTCCCCTAGGTGCTCTGTCCCAGGGAGATGGGAGTTTTATCTATAAGCCCCTGACTGGGGCTGCTGCCTTTCTTTCACAGATGCCCTGTCCGGAGAGGAGGAATCTAGAGAGGCAGTTGGGTTACATACAGCGGCTTTGCCAAGCTGTGGTGGGTTCCTCCCAGTTTGAACTTCCCAGCAGCTTTGTTTACACTGTGAGGGGAAAACTGCCTACTCAAGCCTCAGTAATGGTGGACACCCCTCCCACACCCCAAGCTCAAGCATCCCAGGTCAACTTCAGATTGCTGTGCTGGCTGTGAGAATTTCAAGCCAGTGGATTTTAGCTTGCTGGGCTCCATGGTGGTGGGATCTGCTGAGCTATACCACTTGCCTCCTGGCTTCAGCTCCCTTTTCAGGGGATTGAACACTTCTGTCTCACTGGCATTCCCGGTGCCACTGTGGTAGGAAAAAAATCCTGCAGCTAGCTCCGTGTCTGCCCAAATGGCTACCCAGTTTTGTGCTTGAAACCCAGGGACCTGGTGTTATAGGCACCCGAGGGAATCTCCTGGCCTGTGGGATGTGAAGACCATAGGAAAAGCATATTGTCTTGGTCAGAATGCACAGTTTCTCATGACACAGTCCCTCATGGCTTTCCTTGGCTAGGGGAGGGAGTTCTCCGACCCCTTGTGCTTCCTGGGTGAGATGATGCCCCACCCTGCTTTTACTCACCCTCTGTGGGCTGCAATCACTATCTAACCACTCCCAATGAGATGAGCCCGGTACCTCAGTTGGAAAATGCAGAAATCACCTGCCTTCTGTGTTGATCTCGCTGGGAGCTGCAGACTGGAGCTGTTCCTATTTGACCCTCTTGCCAGCCACCCCCATTAGTCTTATTCTTATTTTATAGCCACCTTCTTCTCTTCCATCCACTTACTCCTTCCAAATCATTTGATGTTAATTTTTTTTTGTGGAGTAAATTTATATGTCTTAAATCAGTTAAAATTCTTTACAGAGTGAACATGGAATAAGATAATAATATAAAAAGTGATCACCTGCTTTGTAGAAGATATTACCACTTCAGGGCATCAGGTGTGACTTCTGAGAAACTCAAGACAATGTTTTTACAGTCCTTATAGATACAAATTCAATAGGAATAGTCACTATTAGGTAACTAAAATTTTCTGTTGTGGCTTCTTGTTACAATACCACTCTTAATGAGCATCCTAAAATACATAATGGTTATTAAATAATTAGCCCTCCAATTTGTCAGTATCTATCAAAATTGCAAATGTACTTGCTCGTGCATCCTTTAGCTCAAAGGAGTTTGTTATTACCCACCTTCTGAAGCCTACTTCTGTCAACCCAGCAATTCCTCTTTACAGAATTGGTCCTTATGTATACTTGATTACAAGTAAAATAATTTTACTTATTGTAGCAAAGTTTGCAACCAAAGATTAGGAGAAAAACAAATGTTCCTCAAAGGGGATTGATACAATTAATTATTATACACCAAAATAATAGAATTCTATGTAATAAAAATAGGAATTTGTTCTCTATTAATGAATTTTGAGAGATTTTAAAAGATATACTTTTTTTTAGAAAATATTTAGATTCAGGGGTACCTGTATAGGTTTGTCACATGGGTATATAGCATGATACTGAGGTTTGGGCTTCTATTGATCCCATCACCCTAATAGTGAACAAAATACTCAATAGGCAGTTTTTCAAACCTTCCTCCCTCACTGCCTTCCCTCTTTTGGAGTCCCCAGTGACTACCGTTCCCATATTTATGTCTGTGTGTACCCAGTATTTAGCTCCCACTTATAAGTGATAACATGTGGTATTTGTTTATTTCTTTATCTACTTAAAATGACACTTTTGTCATGAAGCCGCTTCTAATCTTATTTAATACTTCTATTCTCTATATACTTCAACCTCCTGACCACACACAATCACTTCCTTTGATTGATTTATGCAGCACTTTTGTTTTACTTTCAAAGCTCTAAATTGGGAATATATAATATTTGGATTATTTTTCTCATTCTACCAGATTTTAGTCACAAAGCATTAGATAATGTATAAAGCCTCAATTTTATCTTGTGCAGAATGGGTATAAAACTGCTTGTTCATTTGTTTAACAGAGTTGCTGAAGACATACAAGAAGCATAGAGTTGCTGAAGAGATAGAAATATTCATTTATTATCTGGTGGGATATTATTTTTAAAATATTAAGTAAATAATAGTGCTAATCAGATATTTAAGATTTCTGTGGCTTGAAGAGTGGACTCCTAATGACCTGAAAGAGAAGAGCTGAATCCAAGGAAACTCCTGGATAAGATAAACAGACAACACAGCAGGCAGCTAGGTGGACTGTAGGTTAAACTAGAATCCAATAGTCGACCACAGGTTAAATTAGAATCGAATAATGATAGAAAAGTCACTGGTAGAATAAAGAGATGAAAACTCTAATTAAACACCTAAAATATTTTGCATCACACATATATAATTCTTGAAACTGAATTGAATTCAGAAACAACCCTAGGAAACAGAGAGAGAACATCTTGAATTGGCTGAGCCTGTATTCTCTAACTAGTATAATAAAATTGAGGTTTAAAAATACAATTTGGATTGCAATTAAGAAGGAAGAAAATGAAATAATAAATATCTGTGATTTCTATATGCACCTGTAATGAAATAGGCACAGTAAGACCATTTAATGGTTTCAATGGAGAGTAGGCTTTAATGCCTGTTATATCTGGGTTCAAATTGCATCTTTCTCATTTACTAAATATCATTTTGAGAAAACCATGTAAAGTCTCTGACTTCAAGTTTTCCCATCTGTATAAATTAGATACTATTAGTACCTAATTAATTAGATCATTTTGAAGATACAATAGCACAATGAATAAATGTTAGGCACCGTGTTTGGAACAAAGTGAGTATTTCACAAGTGTATTATACTATTATTATTATTTAGAGTGATATGTTAAATTCTGTCTGGCATAGTGTTTCCTATTTCATCAGGTTATTATTTTTTAAATATAGCGTCTCTTATAAACCTAATTTATAATCCCAACCAAACTTGAACTTTTGCTATAGACAATCTACCTGTTAAGGGTTTACTGAATTATGTCACTTGATTTTTTTTTTATCACATATATTTCCATTAGTTGGCTTACAAAATTCCTTCCAAAGGGCCAAGGTATCAGGCACTATAATATAAGGCAAAAGAGTCTTGATGAGGAAGAAATCAAATTTCTTGAATGAGGCGTTTCATAAAGCACAAGATTCAGCAGGAGCCCTTAACAAGTTACATTAGGGTAAAGCGAGGTAATGCTAGAGAAAAACTGAAATAAGAAAAATGGTGGAAAGATACTTGTAAGTTTCTGTGTACATTAGGGGTAGAAGTCTTGATTGTATACAAAGCATATCTCAGAGATATGATTCCAGACAACAACAATAAAGTGAATCATACAAAATTTTGGTTAATCAGTGCACAAAAGAGTTATATTTACACTATTCTGTAATCTAAGTTTGCAATAGTATTATGTCTAAAAAACAATATATATAACTTTAAGATATTTTATTACCAAAAAATGCTAGCAATTATCTGAGCCATGAGTGAGTTGTATACATCCTTTTGCTGGTAGAAGCTCTGCCTTGTTACTGATGGCTGCTGACTAATCAGGGTGGTGGTTGCTGAAGATTGGGGTCATTGTGGCAATTCTTTAAAGTAAGCCAAAAATGAAGTTTGCCACATCAACTGATTCTTTCTTCCGTGGAATACTAGTCTGCAGTATGTGATGATATTTGATAAGTATAGTAAATTGGTAAAATTTGTATTGCTCCTGTCAAACGCTACCACTGCTTTGTCAATTTAATTTATGTAATTTTCAAAATCTTTTGTTGTAATTTCAACGATGTTCACAGCCTCTTTACCAGGAGAAGATTCGGTCTCAATAAACCACTTTCTTTGAGCATACGTAAGAAGCAATTCCTTACTCATTTAAGTTTTAGAATGAGATTGCAGGAATTCAGTCACAACTTCAGGCTCCACTGCTAGCTCCACCACATCTGCATTTACTTCCTCACTTAAAGTCTTGAACCCTCAAAGTCATCCACAAGGGTTGAAATCAACTTCTTCCAAACTTTTGTTAATGGTGAAATTTTGGCCTCCTCCCATGAATCATAAATGTTATTAATGGCATGTGCAATAGTGAACCCTTTTCAGAGGTTTTCAATTTATTTTACTTAGAACCATCAGAGAAATCACTCTCTGCACCAGCTATAGCCTTACAAAATATATTTCTTATATAATAAGACTTGAAAGTTGAAATTACTTCTTAATTCATGGCTGTAGGATGAATGTTGTGTTAGAAGGCATGAAAACATTAATCTCCTCAGACATCTCCATCAAGGCTTCAGAGCTCTTGGCTGACTAAGTGCCCTGTTAATAAGCCAAAATATTTTATTTTATTATTTAATTAATTTATTATTTTTTATCTATAACTTTTATTTTAGGTTCAGGAGTACATGTGAAGATTTGTTATATAGGTAAACTCATGCCGAGGGGGTTTGATGTACATATTATTTCATCACTCAGGTACTAAACCTAGTACTCAATTATTTTTTCTGCTCTTCTCCCTTCTCCCACCCTACACCCTCTGGGAGGCTCCAGTTTTCCTCTTTGTGTCCAAATGTTCTTATCATTTAGTTCTCAATTATAAGTGAGAACATACAGTATTTGGTTTTGTGTTCTTGCTTTAGTCTGATAAGGATAATGGCCTCTTGATCCATTCATGTTCCTGCAAGACATGATCTCATCCTTTTTATGGCTGCATAGTACTCCATGTTGTATATGTACCACATTTTCTTTATCCAGACTTCCAATGATGGACATTTAGGTTGATTCCATTCTTTGCGAATGTGAACAGTGAGCATAAGTACATACGTGTCTTTATACTAGAATATTTTATATTACTTTGGGTATATACTCAATAATGAAACTGCTGAGTTGAACAGTAGCTCTGTTTTTAGCTCTTTGAGGAATCACCACACTGTTTTCCGCAATGGTTGAACCAATTTACACTCTCGGCAAAAGCATTTCCTTTTCTCTGCATTCTTGCCAGCATCTGTTTTTTTTTTTTTTTTTTTTTTTGACTTTTTAATAATAGCCATTCTGATTTGTGTGAGATGGTATCTTACTGTGGTTTTGATTTGCATTCTCCAGTGACTAGTGATATTCAGCTTTTCACATGCTTGTTGGCAGTGTATACGTCTTTTTTGAAAGTGTCTGTTCATGTTCTTTGCCACCTTTCTAATTTTTTTTTTTTCTGGTAAAGTTGTTTAAGTTCCTTATAGATGCTAGATGTTAGATCTTTGGCAGATGCATAGTTTGCACATAGTTTCTCCCACTCTGTAGGTTTTCTGTTTACTCTGTTGACAGTTTTTTTGTGGTGCAGAAACTTTTTAATTTAATTAGATTCCATTTGCCAATTTTTGCTTTTGTTGCTATTGCTTTTGGCATCTTTGTCATGAAATACTTGCCCCTGCTTATTTCCTGAATGGTATTGGCTAAGTTTTCTTCCAGGGTTTTTACAGTTTTGGGTTTTACATTTAATTCTTTAATCCATGGTGATGGTTAATATTAAGTGTCAACTTGGTTGGATTTAAGGATGCAAAGTGCTGTTCCTGGGTGTGTCTGTGAGTGTGTTGCCTAAGGAGATTAACATTTGAGTCAGTGGACCTGGAAAGGCAGACCCACTCTCTATCTGGGTGGGCACAAATTAATCAGCTGCCAGCATGGCCAGAATAAAAGCAGGCAGAAGAACGTGAAAAGGCTAGACTAGCTTAGTCTCTCAGTTTGCATCTTTCTCCCACGCTGGATGCTTTCTGCCCTCAAACATTGGACTCCAAGTTCTTCAGCTTTGGGACTCCGACTGGCCTCCTTGCTCCTCAGCTTGCAGATGGCCTGTTGTGTAACCTCATCTTGTGATTGTGTGAGTCAATACTCCTTAATAAACTCCCCTTTATATATGCATATACTTATTAGTTCTGTTCCTCTAGAGAATCCTAATACATCCATCTTGAGTTGAATTTTGTATATGGCATAAGAAAGGAGTCCAGTTTCAATCTTCTGCATATGTCTAGCCAGTTATCCCAGCACCATTTATTGAATAGAGAATTTTTCCCCATTGCTTGTTTTTGTCAGCTTTGTTGAAGATCAGATAGATGTAGGTTATGGCCTTATTTCTGGGCTCTCAATTCTGTTCCCTTTGTCTATGTGTCTGTATTTGTACCAGTACTGAGCTGTTTTGGTTACCATATCCCTGTAGTATAGTTTGAAGTCTGGTAGTGTGATACCTCCAGCTTTGTTCTTTTTGTTTAGGATTATCTTTGCTATTTGGGCTTTTTTGTCTCACATAAGTTAATTTTTTTTCTAGTTTTGTGAAAATGTTGTTGGTAGTTTGGTAAAAATAGAATTGGATTTGTAAATTGCTTTGGGCAGTATGGCCATTTCAATATTCTCCTGAATAATGTCTTTTGAATTGTATCATCTCTGATTTTTTTGAGCACTGTTTTGTAATTCTCATTGTAGATAGTATTCACCTCCCTGGTTAGCTGGTATTCTTAGGCATATTATTCTTTTTGTGGCAATTGGGAATGAGATTGCATTCCTGAATGCTCTCGTCTTGGCTGTTGTTGGCATATAGAATGGTAGCAATTTTTGTACATTGATTTTGTATCTTGAAACTTTGCTGAAGTTGTTTATCAGCTGAAGGAGCTTTTTGGCTGAGACTATAAGGCTTTCTAATTATGGAATCATGTCATTTACAAACAGGGATAGTTTGACTTCCTCTCTTCCTACTTGAATTCCTTTTATTTATTTCTTTGCCTGATTTCCCTGGGCAGAACTTCCAATACTATGCTGAATAGAAGTGATGAGAGAGGGTATCCTGGTCTCGCACTGGTTTTCAAAGGGAATGCTTCCAGCTTTTGCCTATTCAGTATGAGGTTGGCTGTGGGTTCATCATAGATGGCTCTTATTATATTGAGATATCCTTCAATACCTAGTTTACTGACAGTTTTTAACATGAAGGGTGTTTAATTTTATTGAAAGTCTTCTCTGAATCTATTGAGATAATCATGTGGTTTTTGTCTAGTTCTGTTTATATGATGAATTATGTCTACGGATTTGTGTATGTTGAACAAATCTTGTATCCCAGGGATAAAGCCTACTTGATTGTGGTGAATTAGCTGTTTTCATGTGCTGCTGGATTCCTTTTGCTAGTATTTAATTGAGGATTTTTGCATCAATATTTACCAAGAATATTGGCCTGAAGTTTTCTTTTTCTTGTTGTTTCTCTGTCAGGTTTTTGTAACAGGATGATACTGGCCTCATAAAATGTGTTGGGGAGGAGTTCCTCCTACTCAATGTTTTGGAGTACTTTTTGTGGGAATGGTATCAGCTCTTTGATTTGATTGTGAATTTGGTTGTGAATCCATCAGATATAGGGCTTTTTTGGTTGGTGGGCTGTTCATTACTGATTTAATTTCCGAACTCATTGTTGGTCTGTTGAAGGATTCAATTTCTTCCTGGTTCTGTCTTGGGAGGGTGTATGTGTCTAGGAATTTATCCATTTCTTTTGGATTTCCTAGTTTGTGTGCATTGAGGTGTTCATAATATTCTCTGATAGTTAATTGTATTTCTCTGGGGACAGTGATAATATCCCTTTTGTTGTTTCTGATTGTGTTTCTTTCGATCATCTCTCTTTTCTTCTTTATTAGTCTAGCTAGTTGTCTCTCTATCTTACTACTTTTTTTTTTTTTTTCAAAAAAACAGCTCCTGGGTTCATTGATCTTTTGATCAGTTTTGTGTTTCTCAATCTCCATAAAGTCAACTGTGATTGTGATGTTGATTATTTCTTGTATTCTGCTAGGTTTGGGGTTGGTTTGCTCTTGTTTTTCTCATTCTTTTAGTTGTGATCTTAAGTTGTTAATTTGAGATACTTCTAAGTTTTTGACATGGGTATTTAATGCTATAAATTTCCCTCTTAAAGTTGCCTAAACCATGTCCCAGAGATTCTGATATATTGTATCTTCATTCTCATTGTTTTCAAAGAACTTCTTGATTTCTGCATTAAATTATTTATTACCAAAAAGACATTATTTAGGAGCAAATTGTTTTGTTAATTTTATGGCTTTGAGAAATTTTTTTGTCTTGAATTCTACTTTTACTGTACTGTGATCTGAGAGAGAGGTTAGTATGATTTTGTTTCTTTTGCATTTGCTGAGGATTGTTTCATATTTAATTATTTGGTTGATTTTGGAGTATATGCCATGTGCAGATAAAAAAATGTATATTCTGTTGCTTTTAGGTGGAGAGTTCTGCAGATGTCTATCAGATTCATTTGGTGCAGTGTCAAGTTCAGGTCCTTAATATCTTTGTTAATCTTATGCCTTGATCATCTGTCTAATACTGTCAGTGGGTTGTTGAGGTCTCCTACTACTGATGTGGGAGTCTATGTCTCTTTGAAGGTCTCTAAGAACTTACTTTATGAACCTGGGAGCTCAAGTGTTGGGTGCACATATATGTAGGATAGTGATGTCTTCTTTGTGTATTGAACCCTTTACTATTCTGTAATCCCCCTTCTTTGTCTTTTTAAATCGTTGTTGACTGAAAAAATTTGTTTTGTCTGAAATTAAAATTACAACCTCTGCTTTTTTCTGTTTTCCATTTGGTTGGTAGATTTTTCTCCATCCCTTTATTTTGAGTCTATAGGTGTCATTGCACGTGAAATGGGTCTCTTGAAGACAGCATAACATTTGGTCCTGCTCCTTTATTCAGCTTGACATTCTGCCTTTTAATTGGGGCATTTAGCCTGTTTATATTCAATGTTGGTATTGATATGTGAGGATTTCTTCCCGTCTTTTTGTTGTTAGATGGTTATTATGCAGACTTGTTTGTGTGGTTGCTTTATAGTGTCACTGGTCTGTGTACTTAATTGTACTTTTGTAGTGACTGGTAATAATCTTTTCCTTTCATATTTAGTGCTTCCTTCAGGAACTCTTGTAAGGCAAGTCTGGTGGTAACAAATTCCCTCAGCATTTGCTTGTCTGAGAAGGAACTCACTTATCCTTTGCTTATGAAGCTTAGGTTGGCCAGATATAAAATTCTGGGTTGGAATTTTTTTTAAGAATGTTGAATATAGGCTCCAAATTCTTCTGGCTTGTAGGGTTTCTGCTGAGAAGTCTACTGTTACTCTGATAGGCTTCCCTTTGTAGGTGACCCGTCCTTTCTCTCTAGCTGCCTTTAACAAGTTTTCTTTCATTTTTACCTTGGAGAATCTGACGATTATGTGTCTTAGGGATAATCTTCTTGTGAAGTATTTTGTGGGAGTTCTCTGCATTTCCTGAATTTGAATGTTGGCCTCCCTAGCTAGGTTGGGGAAATTCTCCGGGATGATATTCTGATATATAATTTTCAAGTTGGTTCCATTCTTACCATCTCTTTCATGGAGGCCAATAAGTCATAAATTTGGCCTCTTTACATAATCCCATATTTCTTGGAGGTTTTGTTTGTTCCTTTCCATTCTACATTCTTTTTTTGTCAACTGTCTTATTTCAGAAAGCAAGTTCAAGCACTGAGATTCTTTCCTCAGCTTTATCTATTCTGCTATTAATACTTGTTATTGCACTATGAAATTCTTATATAGTGTTTTTCAGTTCTATCGGGTTGGTTATGTTCTTGTCTATACTGGCTATTTTGTCTATCAGCTCCTGTATCATTTTACTGTGACTCTTAGCTTCTGAAGATTGGGTTTCATCATTCTCCTGAATCTTGATAATCTTCATTCTTATCCACTTTCTGAATTCTCTTTCTGTGATTTTAGTCATCTCAGCTGTATTAAGAACTCTTGCTGGACAACTCATGTGGTCATTTGGAGAAAAAAAGACACTCTGGCTTTTTGAGTTGTCAGAATTCTTGTGCTGGTTCTTTCTTATCTTTCTGGACTGATGTTCCTTTGATCCATGAAGCTGCTGTCCTTTGGATGGGTTTTATTTTTTGCTTTTATCCTATTAGATGACCTTGGTGTTTGATTGTGTATAAAGTAGGTTCAATCAGCTGGCTTTATTACTGTAACATTTTAGGGGGCCAAGTTTCAGCTCAGTATTCCTGAGCTGTGTACTCTAATCTGGGGGACTGTTATTGGGTCCCAGCTTTGACCTCTGGATCCTTGAAATTAGAAATTTGCTGCCCTGGAGGGGTCCAGGTGCTCCCAGACTGCTGTTCACAACACTCTGATGGGTGGTGCCAGTCAAAGTACTCCACAGGGCAGTGGCAGTGAGATCCATCCCCATTCATACATTCCAGCAGCAGCAGCAGCAGCATGGCAGGCTGCCTGCTTATCAGCTGGGGCAGGATGCTATTAGGTTCCAGGGTTCTAAGCCTCTGTGTGGGCATTGCAGCAGCAGTGGGGGCAGTATGGCTTGGGGTGGGGGCCTACTGGTGACTGTGTATGCATTTGCACTGGTGGCAGTGTTAGCATAAGAGCAGCGTGCTGATAGGCACAGGGCTGCATGCACCCTCGGTCTTATTCATGCTGGGCTTGCAACAGTGGCTGTTCAGCACTGGGAGAGGGTTTACTATTTTCCATGTGTAATTTCATGCCAGCAACCCTGGTGCAGGGGCAGCGTGCTGAAAAGGACTGGCCTGGCTGGCTTTGTGCCTGCCAATGCTCTGATGACAATGGTGGTGTGGCGGGTGTGGTGGGTGGAGTGGGCGCAGGGTGCACAGGCAAAGTTGACTTAGCATTATTTTTAAGAGCCTTAGGATTTTCAAAATGGTAAATGAGCATTGACTTCAAGTTAAAGTTATGAGCTGCATTAACCCCTAATGAGAGAGGCAGTCTCTTATGAAACTTTGAAGCTAGATATTGACTTTTCCTCTCTAGCTATGAAAAGTTCTTAACATCTTCCTCTACTTTAAGGTTGTGTTGTCTACATTAGAAACCTATTGTTTAATGTAACCACCTTTATCAAATCTCTTAGCTAGGTATTCTGGATACCTTGCTGCAGTTTCTACATCAGCAGTTGCTGCTTCACCTTGCACTTTTATGTTATGGAGATAGCTTCTTTCCTAAAACCTGATGAACCAACACCTGCTAGCTGCAAACTTTTCTTCTGCAACTTTCTTACCTCTCTCAGGCTTCATAGAATTGCAGAGAGTTAAGACCTTGCTCTAAATTAGGCTTTATCTTAAGGGAATGTTGTGGCTGGTTTGATTTTTTATCCAGACCACTAAGCTTTTCTCCATGTCAGCAATAAGGCTGTTTTACTTTCGTTTTATTTGTGTATTCACTAGAGTAGCAATATTCTTCAAAAACTTTTCCTTTTTACAACCTAGGTAAGTTGTATCTCATTGTGGTTTTAAATTGCATTTCCTAAATGGCTAATGGTATTGAGCATTGTTCCTTGTGCTTGTGTGCCATTAATATATCTTTCTTTTAAAAAATATTGTATTTAAGTCCTTTACCAATTTTTAAGTTGGATTGTTTATTTAGTAGTTGTTGAGTTGTAGGAGTTCTTAGATTCTCAGCAGAGAAACAGTTTGTAAATATTTTCTCTCATTCAGTGGATTGTCTTTGCATTTTCTTGATAGTATCCTTTGATGTAAAAATAATTTTAATTTTGATAAAGTGTAATTTATTTATTTATTTTAATATACTGTTTATTGTACATTTGGTGTCACATCTAAGAATCCCTTAACAAATCCAAGGTCCTTAAAATATAATCATATTTACATTTCTAAGAGTTTCATAGTTTTAGCACATATCTAGATTTTTTATCCATTTTTAGTTACGTTTTTATATATGGTATAGGGTAATTTTTTTTTGTTGGGCAAGTGAATATCAGTTATCATAATTTGTTGAAGAGATATCTTTTCCCTATTTTGTGGTCTCAGCACCCTTGACAAAAGTAAATTTACTATAGATGTATGCATTGATTTCTCAATAGTCAATTCTATTTCATTGATTCTTATGTCTAGCTTTATGCCAATAGCACACTGTTTTGATTAAGGTAGCTTTGCAGTAAATTTTAAAATTGAGAAATGTGAATTCTCTAACTTTGTTATTTTCAGTATTGTTTTGGCTATTCTGGGCCCTTCTAATTTTATAAAAATTTTAGGATTTCTGTTTCTGTTTTAAAAAGATAAATTTTTGCAGAAATTTTGTATTTTTGTGCAGATATTTGTAAATTTTTGCTTTGAATGTGTAGACTGCTTTAGGGAATATTGCCATCTTAAAAATGCTGTCATCCAATCAATGGACATGCAACATATTTTTATTTGTTTAGATTTACTTTAATTTCAGCAATGATTTGTGGTTTTTAGTATAGGGTCTTGTACCATCTTAATTAAATGAGTCCCTAGTATTTTATCATTTTTGATGTTATTATAAATATAATTCTTTTCTTAATTTTCTTTTCAGATTATGGATTTGTAATCTATGGTAAAGCAAATAATTTTTTGAGTATTGATCTTGTATCCTGCAACTTTGATAATTTCATTTATTACCTCTAACAGTTTTTGGGTATGTCTGGATTCTTTAATATGGTCTATGTATAGACTGATGTTATCTAGAAAATAGAGTGCTTTTTTCTTTGGTTCGGATGCTTTTTTTTTTTTTATCATATTTTGGGCAGCACTGCTAGTACTATGTTAAGTAAAAGTGGTGAAAGCAGGTGTCTTATTCTGGTGTCCTTGTAATACTAGCCTCATAGAATGAGTTAGCTAGTATTCCCTCCTCTTCTATTTCTTGGAAGAATTTGAGATGAATAGGTAGTAATCTTTCTTTAAATGTTTAGTGGAATTTTCCAGTGAAACCATCTAGCCTTAGCATTTTATTTGTTGAGAGGTATTTAATTATGTATTCAATGTCTTTATTCCTTGTAGTTCTATTCAGATTTTCTAGTTTTTTCCTTCAGCCTCTTTTGGCTATGTGCCACAAGAAATCATTCTTAGGCCCAGCTGAAGATGCAACTGATAGCAGAGGAAATCTCTTTTCATGGTTATGTTAAAAACACAAAAGTAAAATCCCATTGCACAAGCACGTCTTAAGGTTCTCCTCATGTCACACCCACTTACATCCCATTTGGCAGATCAAATCACTTGGCTAAACCTAAAACCAAGATAGAGAACAGTGTTCTCCGGAACTGTGGGAGGAACTGCAATGTTACATGGTAAAGAACGTACTTACATGAAAAGATGAAGTACCAGCAGCAAGTGTTGAATTTTGAGATAAGGTGTTAATACTATCAGCAAATTCACGTTTCACTTATTATTTTTATCCATTTGCATAGAATATAAAAATTCAGCTATACTTTAATCAGAAATAAAAAAGAAAAAAATTCGTATATTAATTTTATATTTTGCAATGGTAAACATGCATCAATTCTTTCTGAATTTTTGTATATTATTTTGCTAATTTTCTAGGATTAGATACTTAAAACTATATAAAATATGGTTGACTTTTCTGTATTTTAAAATTATATTGAAAGAGTAAATTCTAAATTGTGTACAGACTGCTTAATAGTTGTTTTGATTTCATTGATAGAAATATTACTATAACACAAATAATAACTAAGATATATATAAGATAGAATAATACATATATATTAGTGATCTTAATAAAAATGACTTCATGATATCAGGCATACCAGGGTCTCAGTTTAAATATTGAGATAATATTCTGTTTCACTTGAAATTTTTAGAAGAGCAGATAATAGAAACAAACAAAAATCAAACAAAAATCAAATGGTAAGAGAGAGAAACAGAGAGTGAAATAAAAGGAAAAGAAATAAATGTATTAGATGTCTAAATATTACACAGTAGAATTTAAATGTTAAATTAAACATAGAATATGAATATGCATGTGTGTGTTTCTGTACGCTGAAGATAATTTTCCTAATAAAGTGAATTATTTACATATATTGAAGAAATTTTCAGTCATCTGGAGTCACTTGCATTTTAAAATTTTATTTCAATACTACAAACACGTTGAAATGAATATTTTTAAAAGAGTATCTTGGTTATTCATTTTTCCAATTTGGGAAAGAATAGTAGTAGCCACTGCTCTGCTATGCTGATAGGAACATCTAATAAGATAATTTAACTGGAAATAAAACACTACTATTTGAAAAATAGGGATGGTTAACACTCAGACAATTCATTTTCAACAAATATTATTTTCAAAAAAATCTTGAACGTTAGCAACAGAGCTGTTATTACCACAAGGAGCAGATGAGTTATTACCACTGCATACCTCACAGCAAAAATTTAATGTACCTTTCTTTTCCTTTCTGCTATAACAGAACTGGGTGCTGTGTATTTCTTTCATTTCTTTATTTATAGATTCATGTATATCTATAAAATATGTGAGATGTTTTTGTCTATATATGTTCAAATCACTTATAAAATTTAACCCCACTGAAAATTTTTAGTCTACTCTTGCAAGATAGGCAATGCACATATATTTATCTTATGAGAATATTGGTTTTGACAGTAGTATCATCCCAGGTTCTGTCACTTTGTGATATAATGGTTATTATCTGTATTTTATCTTTAGTCACTCTGCAAAGTGCCTGGATGCTCCTGTGATCAGTATCTTACGGATGTGGAATAGAATAACCTGAAATATATTTTAGTATTAGAAATAAAATATCTTTTGTATGCTGACAGATATCATTTCTCAAAGTAAATTCTTTTTGCTCTACTTTCAAAATATATGCAGAATTGGATTACTTTTAACCACTTTCCTCCTGGTCAAAACCACCATTATCTCTTACTTAGGTTTTTACAATAGTTTCTTAATCCAGCAGTCAAAATGGGCTTTAAAAAAACAGGTCAGATCACATCACAACTTTACCCAGAACCGTCCAATACTTCCAAAATTAACTTAGAATAAAAATTAAAGTCTGTATTATAGATTGGAGACATTAAGAGATCTGCTTGACTCCCATTTCTAGCCCCTATCGTAAACATTTTCTTTCTGATCTATTCTTCTTCTCTCGTACACTTTGCATATTGGTCTCTTGTGTCATGTCGAGAAATGCTGGGGATGCGCCAACCTCAGGGCCTTTCCATTAGCTGCTTCTTCTCTTTGAAATGCTCTTCCTTCATATATCCAGATAGCTCCTTTATTCAATAATGTCAAGCCTGTTCAAAGATAACTTTTTCATGAGGCATCCCCTTTAGAGAGTTAAATATTAACTATAATAGTAATATTTGTCAGGAACACCATACTCTAAATTCCTCTTATATGCTGTTTTCTTTGTTTGTTTGTTTGTTTATTTTAGTAGCAATTAATGTCTACTAATGGACTATACAACTTATTCACTCACTATGGTTCCGTGTCTGTCACCCTTTATTAATATTTGCTTCTCAAAGGTGGGATTTTTTTGTCTACTTTTTTACATAGAGTAACCGCACTGAGTAGAAAAATAATTGGAACACAGGGAGTGCTCCATAAGAATTGGTTGTGTAGGGTCGCTTCCAAGATGACTGAATAGGAACAGCTCTGGTCTATAGCTCCCAGCGAGACTGATACAGAAGATGGGTGATTTCTGCATTTCCAACTGAGGTACCTGGTTCATCTCATTGGGACTGGTTGGACAGTGGATGCAGCACATGGAAGGTGAGCTGAGGCAGGGTGGGGCATTGCCTCAACTGGGAAGCACAGGGGGTTGGGGGATTTCCCTTTCCTAGCCAAGGGAAGCTGTAAGTGACTGCACCTGGAGGAATGGTAGACTTCTGCCCAAATACTGCGATTTTCCCACCATCTTCACAACCAGCAGATCAGGAGACTCCCTCCTGTGCCTGGCTCAGCAGGTCCCACACCCACGGAGCCTTGCTCGCTGCTAGCTTAGCAGTCTGAGATTGACCTGGGATGCTAAAGCTTGGTGGGGGGAGGGGCATCCGCCATTGCTGAGGCTTGAGTAGGCGGTTCTATGCTCACAGGGTAAACAAAGTGGCAGGAAAACTTGAACTGGGTGGAGCGCATCACACTCAGCAAGGCCTACTGCCTCTCTAGATTCCACCTCTGAGGGCAGAACATATCTGAACAAAAGGCAGCAGACAGCTTGTGCAGACTTAAACGTCCCTGCCTGACAGCCCTGAAGAGAGCAGTAGTTCTCCCAGCACAGTGTTCGAGCTCTGATAATGGACAGACTGCCTTCTCAAGTGGGTCCCTGACTCCTGTGTGGCCTGACTGGGAGACACCTTCCAGTAGGGGCCGACAGACACCTCATACAGGCGGGTGCCCCTCTGGGATGAATATTCCAGAGGAAGGTTCCCGCAGCAATATTTGCTGTTCTGCAGCCTCCGCTGGTGATATGCAGGCAAACAGGGTCTGGAGTGGACCTCCAGCAAACTCCAACAGACCTGTAGCTGAGGGGCCTGTCTGTTAGAAGGAAAACTAACAAACAGAAAGGAACAGCATCAACAAAAGGGACATCCACACCAAAACCCCTCCATATGTCACCAATATCAAAGACCAAAGGTAGACAAAACCACAAAGATAGGGAAAAACCAGAGCAGATAGCCTGAAAATTCCAAAAACCAGAACACCTCTTCTCCCCCAAATGAACACAACTCCTCACCAGCAAGGGAACAAAACTGGACAGAGAATGAATTTGACAAGTTGACAGGAGTAGCCTTCAGAATGTCAGTAATAACAAACTTTCCAAGCTAAAGGATCATATCCTAACCCATGGCAAGGAAGCTAAAAACCTTGAAAAAAGGTTAGATGAATGGCTAACTAGAATAACCAGTGTAAAGAAGAGATTAATTGTCCTGATGGGGCTGAATACCACAGTATGAGTACTTTATGAAGCGTACATAAGCTTCAATAGCCGATTTGATCAAGCAGAAGAAAGGATATCAGTGATTGAAGATCAAATTAATGAAATAAAGTGAGAAGACAAGATTAAAGAAAAAAAGAGTAAGAAGAAATGAACAAAGCCTCAAAGAAATATGGCACTTTGTGAAAATACCAAATCTATATTTGATTGGTGTACCAGAAAGTGATGAGGAGCATGGAACCAAGTTAGAAAACACCCTTCAGGATATTATCCAGGGGAGCTTCCCCAACCTAGCAAGGTAGGCCAATATTCGAATTCAGGAAATATAGAGAACACCACAGAGATACTCCTCCAGAAGAGCAACCCCAAGACACAAAATTGTCAGATTCACCAAGATTGAAATGAAGGAAAAAATTTTAAGGATAGCCAGAGAGAAAGGTTGGGTTACCCACAAAGGGAAATCCATCAGACTAACAGCAGATCTCTCTGCAGAAACCTTACAAGCCAGAAGAGAGCAGGGACAAATATTCAACATTATTAAAGAAAAGAATTTTCAACCCAGAATTTCATATCCAGCCAAACTAAGCTTCATCAGTGAAGGAGAAATAAAATCCTTTACAGACAAGCAAATGCTGAGAGATTTTGTCACCACCAGGCCTGCCTTACAAGAGCTCCTGAAGGAAGCACTAAACATGGAAAGGAACAAATGGTACCAGCCACTGCAAAAACATGCCAAAGTGTAAAGACCATCAACACTATGAAGAAACTGCATAAATTAATGGGCGAAATAACCAGTTAGCATCATAATGACAGGAAAAATTTCACACATAACAACATTAACCTTAAATGGAAATGGGCTTAATGCCTCAATTAAAAAACACAGACTGGCAAATTGGATAAAGAGTCAAGACCCATTGGTATGCTGTATTCAGGAGACACATCTTATGTGCAAAGACACACATAGGCTCTAAGTAAAGGGATGGAGAAAGATCTACCAAGCAAATGGAAACAAAAAAAAAGCAGGGGTTGCAATCCTTGTCTCTGATAAAACAGACTTTAAACCAACAAAGATCAAAAGAGACAAAGAAAGCCATTACATAATGGTAAAGGGATCAATTCAACAAGAAGAGCTAACTATCTTAAATATATATGCACCCAATACAGGAATACCCAGATTCATAAAGCAAGTTCTTAGAGACCTACAAAGAGACTTAGACTCCCACACAATAATAATGAGAGATTTTAACACCCCACTGCCAATATTAGACAAATCAATGAGACAGAAGTTTAACAAAGATACCCAGGTCTTGAACTCAGCTCTGCACCAAGCAGAACTCTCCACACCAAATCAACAGAATATACATTCTTCTTAGCACCACGTCACAGTTATTCTAAAATTGACCACATAATTGGAAGTAAAACACTCCTCAGCAAATATAAAATAACAGAAATCACAATAAACTGTCTCTCAGACCACAATGCAATCAATTTAGATCTCGAGATTTAGAAACTCACTCAAAACCACACAACTACATGGAAACCTAACAATCTGCTCCTGAATGACTACTGGGTAAATAACAAAAAGAAGGCAGAAATAAAGATCTTCTTCAAAACCAATGAGAACAAAGACACACTGTACCAGAACCTCTAGGACACAGATAAAAAAGTGTGTAGAAGGAAATTTATAGCACTAAATGCCCAAAGGAGAAAGCAGGAAAGATCGAAAATTGACACCCTAACATCACAATTAAAAGAACTAGAGAAGCAAGAGCAAACAAATTCAAAAGCTAGCAGAAGATAAGAGATAACTAGGATCAGAGCAGAACTGAAGGAAATAGAAACACAAAAAACCCTTCAAAAATCAGTGAATCCAGGGGCTATTTTTTGAAATGATCAATGAAGTAGATAGACTGATATCAAGACTAATAAAGCAGAAAAGAGAGAAGAATCAAATAGATGCAATAAAAAATGATAAAGGGGATATAATCACCAATCCGACAGAAATACAAACTACCATCAGAGAACACTACAAACACCTCTACACAAATAACCTAGAAAATTTAGAAGAAATAGATAAGTTCCTGGACACATACACCCTCCCAAGACCAAACCAGGAAGAAGTTGAATCTCTGAATAGACCAATAAGAAGTTCTGAAATTGAGGCAATAATTAATAGCCTACCAACCAAAAAAAGTCCAGGACCAGATGGATTCACAGCTGAATTCTACCAGAGCTACAAAGAGGAGCTGGTGCCATTCCTTCTGAAACTATTCCAATCAATAGAAAAAGAGGAAATCCTCCCTATCTCATTTTATGAGGCCAGCATCATCCTTATACCAAAGCCTGGCAGAGATACAACAAAAAAAAAGAGAATTTTAGGCCAATAACCCTGATGAACATCAATGCAAAAATCCTCAATAAAATACTGGAAAACGGAATCCAGCAGCACCCAAAAAAGCTTATCCACCACGATCAAGTGGGCTTCACCCCTGGGACGCAAGGCTGGTTCAACATACAAAAATCAATAAACGTAATCCATCACATAAACAGAACCAATGACAAAAACCACATGATTATCTCAATAGATGTGGAAAAGGCCTTTGACAAAATTCAACAGCCTTACATGCTAAAAACTCTCAATAAACTAGGTATTGATGGAACATATCTAAAAATAATAAGAGCTGTTTATGACAATCCCACAGCAAATATCATACTGAATGAGCGACAACTGGAAGCATTCCCTTTGAAAACCAGCACAAGACAAGGATGCCGTCTCTCACCACTCCTATTCAACATAGTATTGGACTTTCTGGCCAGGGCAATCAGGCAGGAGAAAGAAAGAAAGGGTATTCAATTAGGAAAAGAGGGAGTCAAATCATCTCTGTTTGCAGATGACATGATTGTATATTTAGAAAACCCCATCGTTTCAGCCCTAAATCTCCTTAAGCTGATAAGCAACTTCAGCAAAGTCCTAGGATACAAAATCAATCTGCAAAAATTACAAGTATTCCTATACACCAAGAACAGACCAACAGAGGCCAAATCATGAGTGAACTCCCATTCACAATTACTACAAAGAGAATAAAATACCTAGGAATCCAACTTACAAGGGATGTGAAGGACCTCTTCAAGGAGAACTACAAACCACTGCTTAATGAAATAAAAGAGGACACAAACAAATGTTAAAACATTACATGCTCATGAATAGGAAGAATCAATACCATGAAAATGGCCATACTGCCCAAGGTAATTTATAGGTTCAGTGCTATCCCCATCAAACTACCATTGACTTTTTCACAGAATTGGAAAAAAACTACTTAAAATTTTATACAGAACCAAAAAAGAGAACGCATAGCCAAGACAATCCTAAGCAAAAAGAACAAAGCTGGAGGCATCACGCTACCTGACTTCAAACTATACTACAAAGCTACAGTAACCAAAACAGCATGGTACTGGTACCAAAACAGAGATATAGACCAATGGAACATAATGGAGGCCTCAGATATAACACCACTCATCTACAACCATCTGAACTTTGACAAACCTGACAAAAAAAGCATGGGGAAAGGATTCCCTATTTAGTAAATGGTACTGGGAAAATTTGCTAGCCATATGTAGAAAGCTGAAACTGGATCCTTTCCTTACACCTCATACAAAAATTAACTCAAGGTGGATTAAAGATTTAAATGTAAGACCTAAAACCATGAAAACTCTGGAAGAAAACCTAGGCAATACCATTCAGGACATAGGCATGGGCAAAGACTTCATGACTAAAACACCAAAAGCAATGGCAACAAAAGCCAACATAGACAAATGGGATCTAATTAAACTAAGGAGCTTCTGCACAGCAAAAGAAACTATCATCGGAGTGAACAGGCAACCTTCAGTATGGGAGAAAATTTTTGCAATGTATCCATCTGACAAAGGGCTAATATCCAGAATCTACTAAGAACTTAAACAAATTTACAAGTAAAAAACAACCCCATCAAAAAGTGGGCAAAGGATATGAACAGACACTTCTCAATAGAAGACATTTATGCAGCCAACAGAAATATGAATAAATGCTCACCATCACTGGTCATCAGAGAAATGCACATCAAAACCACAGTTAGATACCATCTCACACCAGTTAGAATGGTAATCATTAAAAAGTCAGGAAACAACAGATTCTGGAGAGGTTGTGGAGAAAGAGGAATGCTTTTATACCGTTGGTGGGAGAGTCAATTATTTCAACCATTGTGGAAGATAGTGTGGTGATTCCTCAAGGATCTCGAACTAGAAATACCATTTGACCCAGCAATCCCATTACTGGGTATATACCCAAAGGATTATAAATCATGCTACCATAAAGACATATGCACACGTATGTTCATTGCAGCACTATTCACAATAGCAAAGACTTGGAACCAACCCAAATGTCCATCACTAATAGACTGGATAAATAAAATTCGTCACATACACACTATAAAATACTATGCAACCGTAAAAAAGGATGAGTTCATGTCCTTTGCAGGGACATGGATGAAGCTGGAAACCATCATTCTCAGCAAAACATCACAAGGACAGGAAACAAACACCACATGTTCTCACTCATAAGTGGGAATTGTACAATGAGAACACATGGACACAGGGAGGGGAACATCACACACTGGGGCCTGTTGAGGGGTAGGGGGCTGACGGAGGGATAGCATTAGTAGAAATACCTGATGTAAATGATGAGTTGATGGGTGCAGCACACCAACATGGCACATGTATACCTATGTAACAAACCTGCAGGTTGTGCAAATGTACCCTAGAACTTAAAGTGTAATAATGAAAAAAAAAGAATTGGTTGTGTAAAGGAGCAAAACAAAGTGATTGTTAAATATTTAAATAGCTCAAACCTATGAATGGTAGGAATTGGTAGTTAATCTAGGGGTACAGGAAAGATCATGCATGAGATCTCTCTATAGAAATATTAAATATGATCTCGGATTAAGACATTCTCATTCCTATGAACAGAATAAATGAAATATACCCAATGTTGAATGTATAAAATAACAAATGAATTTTTTTAAGATCATGGCATTTAAAAGTAGTTTCATGATATTGCCGCCCGTGAGTATAAGGATGCAGAAAGTGGCTGCAAAGAAGTAGAAACAAATCAAAGGCAGTCAAGATAATATATGGCCTCAGTAAAAAATGAGGTGTAAAAATATAATAGAATAATTAATAATAGAATAATTTTATATTCAAAATAATATGTATTTCATTATAAAATATTCAAATTTCAGAAAACTATAAAAAACTGTAAAGCATCAAGTAAGTGATAAATTCACTTACTTCTCCTTTGATTGCAGAGGTATTCGTAATTTTCTTTTTTTTTTAAATCCTAAATATCTTAAAATCCCTTGCAGTTGGTCTATAAGTAGTTTTGCTGTCAAATAAGGGTAAAATGGTTTCAATCGTTAGAATGATTAAATGTGTTATATCTGATGTGTTAATTTAATTAAACTTTGATACTATTTTGGGTGGCTTCACTCCAGCCTTGTACTCACAATAAGACTAGAAATTTTCACTGGAAGCTTCCCATTCATGTAGCAAAAAATGATTTATTTGAAAAAGTAAATGTCCTTGTTTTCAGGATATATTAGGTATCTACAATGTAGAAGTACCCACGGCAGCATTAGCTTCCTGTGATTCATCTGTAAAAACCAATTTGTATTCACTAAATTGATATTTATGTATATTCATAAAATATATAATAAAAGCCCACTGTATTTCAGGCAAATATTCACATAAATGAACAACAAACACAATAAAGTAGATGAAGTCTAAGTTTGCATGAAGCTCCAAGTCTGTTAGAATAGAGAGACCACAAGCAACTAAAAAATATAGGATGGGAAATGGCAATAAGTTATGTAAATGATCACAGTGCAGGCATAGAGAATAACAAGCTTCAAGTGTGGGGGCTATACTCAGAAACAGTGGGCAGGGAAGACCTCTCTGAGAATGTGACAAGCTAAAGTCTGAAGAAAAGGAGGCAGGTGTCAGTCATACGAAGAATTCAAGAAAGTTTGATGCAGAAAAACAAAAAGTCATATGAAAGACCCTGATATGTGAAATAACTTGCTGTATTTGAGGACATGAGAATAGGGAGGTGAAATGGAAATATAGATTGGGGAAGCCAAGATAATGAGAAGCCACAAGCAAGATGGGTTTTGTAGGCTATAATAAGGAGATGTTAATTTATAAATAATATTACAAAAAATTATTTAAATGGTGGCAGTGAAATGACCTGATTTATGCTTTGAGAGGTTTATTCTCAATACTGAATGATGAAAGTGATGAGGAGACAAGAATAGAATCAAGAAATCAGTAAGGAGACTAGTGACTTTGTCTAGAATAGAAATATGGTAGCTTAAAATAAGGTTAAGGCAGTAGAGAAAACTGATAGTCCTTGATTATGGATTGGATTCAGGGTGAGGCTCATAGGAGGTATAAATAATAACCTCAAGATTTCTGATATGATCACCAGGCTAGATAGTAATTACATTTGCTGACAATTAGGAAACTGGTAGACAAACAGATTTAGACTGGGATAATGAATAAGGTCAAAATTTGTTCTTTTACTTTTGAGATTTAATTTTGAATTACCTTTTAGACAATGAAGCAGAATTGTCCAACAAGCAAATGTATATAGGACCCTAGAACTCAGAGGAAAGATGTGGACTAGAGACATGAATTATGGAGTCCTGATTTATATAGCTGATATTTAAGTCAGGGAATAGATGAGATAATCTAAAAAGCAAGTTTAGAGCAAGAAAAGAAGACATTATATGTAAAAAAAAAAAAAAAAAAAAAAAAAAAAAGTAGTAACCAGAAGATGAATAAAAAACAAATCATGTCATTTCATACACATCATGACTATCAAACACTGCTGAGAATTCATGTAACATGAAACAAAATAGTGGTAACCTTAAGGTAATGCACAGTGCACTCAACTAGCAAAACCCTCGCTTCAACTTCTGAGAGTGTTGCTGATTAAGAGCTCTCAGCTGGCAGCTCTTTCCAGATATGGCTGACAAGATCACACATTCTTTCTAGGGTCAGCCTAAAACCAGTGACTGGCCTATTTGGAGTTGTATTTTCCCTATCCTTTTCCCCAACTAAAGATAAATCAGAAAAGTAATTCCAGTTTCACAAGGCCTTGTTCTGACTTCATTGAAGCTAAGTTTTCCTTTAGTCTAATTCTGACTCCTTCCTTCCCTCACTGATATGCATTCCCCAATACATTTCCACATGCCAATTTCCACCTCAATGTCTGCTTTCCAGGTAAACAACATATAATAGTTGATAATGGTTATTGGCAAAGAAAGTGGGCCTCATGCTAATATTTTAGAGCTGGATCATAAGTTGGCCAGATGGCAGAGCACCTCACTGGTGGTAGTGGAACAGAGACAGCCCAGCTTAAGATAGCAGCACAATTGTTAAAGTGTTCACTCAAGGAGAACTGGGATAGAATAAACTGTGGAAGAAAATATACTAATAGGCACAATATTATCAGTCATTTGTAATATAAAGAATTAGATTGATGACTTTTGAATGGGATGAATTTTGCTTGGGGAACTTTGTGGCAAAAGATAATAAAAGGTTGAGGATAATTAATCAGTAATTAAAGGCTAGATGTGAAAGCCAGAAAGCTTCCTTGGCAGCAAGTGAAGATATCTAGTTTCCTGCAGCTAGAGGGCAGAGAAAGCTGAAAATCAGGTCCAGTAACAGAACTTCAAAGAATGTTGCATTTTCAACTAAGCAGGTCTGCTGTGCTGAAGTCAGGACTCTGACTGGGAAGGAATGCAACTGAAATCTCTAAAAGGAAACATCTGGGTTGGTACATAAAACTCTCAGATTCCCTAAAATCTCTCAAGTTTTAGAAGTGGTGCTTCAATCCCCACTCTTAGCAGCTAAGAAACTGATCTTTTTTCTTTAATATGCTGCACAGGACTCTGCCCTGTATGAAAAGAACCCACCCCACCACAATCATCCCCAAGTTCCGTTATGGCCACTAAACCAATAACCAGAGTTAAGTCACTCCATAACCAATCCAGGGAAGTCTTGTGTAGCAAATGGATGATAGGGGCTATAAATGCTTGACTGGCCAATAGGTATTAGGAGGGGCTGAGAGAGTATGTAGGAGACAGAAGATGCTGAGTCAAAGGGAGCAGAACATAAATTTGGATAATAGACATTATTATTATGATAATATTTCCCTGATAACATTAACATCCTAGCAAGAGATCTCAGAAAAAAATGCTAATATGCTGCTAGAAAGGCTCTTAGAAAGTGGGGAAAATGGAAGCACCTAAAAAGTGAAGTAGAAAAGCCAGAACTCTCATCAAAGATGATATAAGAAGGGATCAAAAGGCCCAGAAATTTAGGCATGCTAAAGAATGAATATAATGAATAAGGCCAGGATACTCACTAGATAATCATATTGCAACAAAAAGTTTGGAGAGGATTCTATTTATAATTGCAATAATGGCCTACTGGAAAGGATGCCAGCGCCAATGAGGTATTCATTGGTGGCTGTCCTGTTTAGGCTAGGGTTGATGGCAGGAGATATAGTGACTTATTTGAGTTTTCTGCTAGCAATGAGGATGCTAGAAACCTAAAATTCTAAAGTCTGAGTGGTGTTTCTTAACTATTAGAAGCAAGGTGAGTACAATTTCATAGCAAGTCGAATTTTTTTAGTGGGAGCATGGAGGGTTTGATTTGAAGAGAACTAAAATGATGCTTAATGAAACATTGCATTCCCAGGAGCAAGATAGAAGACCAACCAACAAAAGCATTGCTTAAAATATTTAAGCCAAAGAAATCAAGAATGTATATTCAGGAGGCTGATGGCAGTTGGCCTCACAGAAAGGCATAATAATCCTTTGCCCAGGTTCTAAATCTGAGCTGTTTTCAAACATGGAACTTACTAAGGGAAACATGAATCCTTAGGAGAAAGTGTCCTACAGCACTACAACACGTGTTTAAAATATAAAGTCTCTCAATTCTTTCAATGCTTTCCTAAATGAATGTATAGCTGTATTTTCTTTGTGAAGCATTGCTGGTGTTTGGGGAATAACCAGATATTTGGAGGACACACAAGGATTGAATAGACATTGATATACAGGATTAAAAGGATCACCACTGTACTAATATTAAGAGTGGAGGCATATAAACGGCAGGTAGTAAACCGAGTCCTGGTATAGTGCCAGTTCAGAGTGAGTCATCTACTGGGAACATAGACTCTATGATGGCTATTCACCGCTTCCTCAGTACATCATTGGGATAGACATGGGTGACTGGCATAGCAATACCTTGGATTGTGGGTTAAAGGCAACTTCATTTGTAAGGAACAAGTAAAAGCCTCTGAAACTGGCTCCTCCACCCATGCTTTGGCCATGTTTAGCCAAGATTCTCTTCGACGAGATAATAGTTAACAGTTCCAGTCTTGTTCCAAGGCTACACAAACTTGTCTGCTCTTCCTTATAGTATAATTTAAGTTCAAAGAAACCTGAGAGGTCTGGAAATCCAGATAATATCACAATGGTTGACTGTATTGATGGACTCAAGCTGATAAGAACAAATGAGCAAGAGGTGGCCAGTGCATTGGAGGCCTTAGTAAGATATATGTATTCCAGGGAGGCTGGGAGATAAACTCTATATGCAGTTTCAGAGGACCACCTTAGAAACTGTTCACCAGTTAATTTAGTACTAAATTAACTAAACAGAATGATTCATAAAGTCACCAGTTTCTGTAATTGGTAACCCACATGCTGGCAATATAAACACATACATAAAATAGCCATTGCAGGGCTGGAAGCTAGGCATGGCCCTGAAAGCAAAGTCACTCATCAGTACTGATCTAGCTACTGCTACTGCTCACTGTTCAACTTTCCAACAATAGAGACCAATTTTAAGCTCCTTGACATGGGCAGTTCTCCTAGCCAGGGGCTGACACACTATGGCTCATGATCCAAATCCAACTTATTGCCTTTTTTGTGAGTAAAATATTATCTGAACAAAACCACTCTCATATGTTTATGCGTTTTCTATGACTGCTTTTATGCAACAACAGCAAAGTTGAGTTATGGTGGAGACTTTAGCCCACAAAACTTAAAATATCTATTATCTATCATTTTGCAGAAAAATTTGCCAACATCTACTCTCAGAGACCAACATGACACATTGGTCACAAGTTGTCTGTGTTTTGTATCTCTTCTACGCTAGAACTGAAAGTAATTCATCTGACTAGAATCAGCATATATTCCAAGTGTGGGTTTGCCTTCTCTACCCAAAAGGCTTGTCCTTTAGAATGAGGCTTCCAAACACCTACGAACATGAAATTCCACATATTGTATTGGATCAAAAGACAGAATTATCAGAAAAGGAAATATGTCAGTGGGCACATGACTAAAATCCTATCACATACAGTACAGCCCATAAGTTGCTGTCCTAATAGAACAATGGCAGAGACTTTTGAAGATGCAATTGAGATGTCAGCTATGAAATGGTACCCTCAAGCCTCCATCCTCCAGGATGTAATATACAACTCTAAATCAACAACAGTTCTACGGTGCTATATTATACTGAATACATGAATCCAGAAATCAAGGAGTGAAAAGAAAGTGGCTCTGTTTAGCATGACTCTCAGTGACCTACTTGGGGAATTTTTGCTTTCAGTCCCCACAAAGCTAGGCTCTATGGATTTGGAGTTCCTGGCTCTTTAAGGGGGGATATACTGTCACTAAGAGAAACAGCAAGAATTATATTTTGAGTGTGTGTGTGTGTGTGTGTGTGTGTGTGCAAAATGAGGTCGGATAAGAAATGTTAGGGGGTCATACTGACTTGTCCCTTTGTGTGAAGTCCCACAGGATCCTTTCACAGCAGGCTCCTTTCTCTTGCACACTCATGCATCAGCACCTAACTTTTTTGCAAGCTAAGTGGTCTTACAGGATACCAGTGGACTTCCGATGGTTACAAGTTCCTTATACCTAGTACAGCCCAGAAAAGAGAACAAAAATCCCTTATTCCTGATGTAGCTTCCCCAATTTCCAACCAATCAGCACCAAAAGCCTAAGAAGCTATTTGCTACAAATTATTGCCAGTGTCTCACATGCACAGGGAGGCTCAAGGTTTAGCTTATACTGACCTTTTCCTCATTTTAATAGTAAAAAACACACCCTGAGATGGAGATTTTATATGCTAATAATACAAACCATACATGTTAGAGCATGTAGTTGCTAAGTGCATGCACCAACTGCCGGTTTGCCTTTGCAGTTTTAATCTCAGCAGTATTTTATGAATATGCATAAACAACTCCCATAAAAGAAATTCCTCTTAAGGGTCTAGCTGCTGTCTCTCCCTCTGAGAAACTTGCTCTGCCTCTCAGAGTGTACTTTTGCTTTGTGATAAATTACTTGGCCTACTCCTACTTTGAACTCACTCTCATATTCTTTTGTGCTGCAAAGTCAAGAACCTGAACTGGCGCACCAACAATAGTAAGAACACTTAACATGAAATCTATCATCTTAACAAATTTTTAAGTTCACAATACCTTATTGTTAACTATAGGCACTATGTTGTACAGAAGAGCTCGGGAAATCACTCCTCTTGGGTAACTGTAACTTTATAGTCATTGAACAATGATTCCTCATACCTTCCCCTCTCCATCCCTTGCTAACCATCATTCTGTCCTCTACCTTTGACTATTTTAGTTGAAATCCTACCATATATGGCAACATAGATGGACATGAAAGACATTATGCTAACAGAAATAAGTCAGTCACAGAAAGACAAATACTACATGATCCCTCTTATGGGGACAGCTATAGAACTAGGCCTACTGCCTGAACACTTTGGCCTCTGCATGTCAAGGGGGAAGAAGTAAAGGAGTCACTATCCTGGCAAATATAAATTACCCTGTTCATGTGAAGGAAGTAGTTCTGCTGTTATAAAGAAGATAAGGCAGGAATATATTTGTCATCCAGGTAAGCTAATTGAAAACACGATTATATCCCTTTCCCAGATTTGATGGCGAACAGATTAAATGCAGCTGCCACAATCCAGTCAGAGCATGGTGACCAGGAATTTGGACTACTTCAGGACAAGACTCTGGGTTACTCTAGCAGGTAAACCTTTAGTATCAATATAGAGACACTAGTTGAGAGTAAAAGGAATCTAGAATGAATAACAGACAAAGGAGAGAATCCATATAATTTGTGGCATCAAGACCAGATGCTCCTAGAGTTTGTGCTAAGCAAGTGAATCTCTGCAGTGCACCTGAAAGACTATAATGGATACTGTGCAGAGACACCCAGTTCTTCAGGCCTTATTCCCTCAAGTCTCTCTTGCAAGTACTTTTTATTTATGTATTGAGATAATCAAATATTTTTCTACTTTCTATGGCTAACACAATAAATTGCATTAATTTTTTAAAAACAATAAACAACTTTTGCATTTATGATATATTGTCTTTTTAAAAGATAGCTCTGTATTTGATTAATTTTTTTTTAGGCAGGATCTCTTTCTATTGCCCAGTTTGAAGTGCTGTGGTGTGATCACAGCTCGCTGCAGGCTCGACCTCCTTGGCCCAAGCAATCCTCCCCTCTCAGTCTCCCTGGTAGTTGGGACTATAGGCACATGCCAGCACATCTGGCTTTTACATTTTTTGTAGAGACAGGGTCTCACTGTTTCACTCAGGCTGATCCCGAACTTCTGCGCTCAAGTGATCCTTCTACCTCAGCCTTGCAAAGTGCTAGGATTACAGGCATGAGCCCAGCCTTTATTAACTAGTTTTAAAATGATGTTGTGTCTCTAATCATTAAGAGTATGATTCAGGACATTCTTATAATGTACTTGTTAGCTGTTGGTGTCTCATAAAATAAGTGAAATCTATCTCCTCCTCATCTATTTTGTGTAAGAATTATAAAATTTTGTATTTAAATATAGGATGAAATTCACCAGCAAAATCATCTGGGTCTTGAATTTTCTCTTTGGTGAACTTTTTAACAATTAATTATTTAATAAATGTAGGGCTATTAAGATATACTACTACTTTTAATATAAGTTTTAGTGAGTTGTTCCCCAAAGAAATTCTTCATTTTATCTAATTTGCTGAACTTATTGTCATAAAATTATTTGACATTTTCCTTTTATCCTTTTAATATCTGTTGAATGTTCCATCTTTTATTCCTAATATTAATGTGTGTTCTTTATTCCTTTTTTGTTGATCATCTAAGTAGGGTATCATTGGTTTATAAATCTCTGATAAGGGAAATGTAGAACTTTGATGATTTTTTATATTTTTTGTTTTCTTTTTCATTAATTTCTGCTTTTATTGCATTATATCCTTTCTATTTTTTCAAGCTTATTTTGACATTTTTCTAGATTCACGTGGTGGAAAATCAGATCACTAATTTTTAAGTTTGTTTTCTCTAAGGATTTTTATTTTGTTTTTTTTGTTTTTGTTTTTGTTTTGAGACATGGTCTCACTCTGTCATCCAGGCTGGAGTACAGTGGCACAATGATGGCTCATTGTATTCTCTACCTCCTGAGCTCAAGAGATCTTCCCACCTCAGCCTCCTGAGTAGCATGGACTACAGTTGTGCACCACCATGTCTGGGCAATTTTTTAATTTTTTAAATTTTTCATAAAGACAGGGTCTCACCATATAGCCCAGGCTGGTCTCAAACTCCTGGGCTCAAGCAATCCTCCCATCTCAGCCTCCTAAAGCATTGGGATTACAGGCATGAGCCACTCTGACTTGCCAGGATTTTTAAAGTTATTAATTTTTTTCTAAGAACTGCTTTGGTTTCATCTCAAATTATCACTGGTATATTCTCATTATCAGTTAATTCAAAATATGTTCTAAATTTATTTATTAGACTTATTTTAGTAGATTTTTTGTTAGACCTATTTTCACTCAGGGATATTTACAAACATGATGTTTAAGTTCCAAATAATTAGGAATTTTCCAATTTTTTTTACTTCTAATTTATTATTATTATTCAGAAAACAGTCTCTGAAAATATAAATCTTTGGGAATTTGTTAAAATGTATCTATGGTCCAGGATAAGGTCTTTTTTGGTGTATATTCCATATATACTGGAAAAAATGGTTATTCTTAGTGACTTTAATGTTCTAAATGTCAACTTCGTCAAGGAGATTGACGTTGTCCATTTTTTTATATCTTTTCTTTTTTCTTTAGTAGCTATCAACTTTGTAGAGAAAAGTATTTAATAATCCAACTATCATCGTTGATTTGTCTTTTTCTCCTTTAACAGAATTAAATGCATCATATCTTTTGCAACTTTATTATTGGTTATATACACATTTATGATTATGTCTTTTTGATGAATTTAGACTTTAATCGTAAGTAAGATACCTCATTGTCAGTATTTCGTGTCAGTAATTCTTCTTGACCTAAAAGCTGTTTTGCCTGATATTAATATAGCCACTTTCATTTTCATATACTTTTGCTATTATGAAATCTACTTCATCATCCTTTTAATCTATTTTAACTTTTATTTAAAATGCATGTCTTACAGGCCTTTAATTTGTTCATTTTTTAAAAAAACTCAGTTTGAATATCTTTGTTCTTAAGTGTTAGTGTTCATTGATTACAGTTTATGCAATTTCAAAATGATTAAACTTAACTCTATCATGTTATTAGAAATCTTCTATTTCTCATCTATTTTGATTGATTTTTTAAAAAAACTTTTTTCTTTACTTTCTCTTTAAAATTATTTGACTTTTGTATTGTTTTGTATGAATCACTTAGCCTTTTAGGTATATCTTTTTTCATTTTATCTTATTATTTTGTTTCTGACGTCTTATATTGTGAGTCTCTATCATAGCCTATTTAGAAAATATTTTGTGTATTATGCAAGATATAACAAACATATAACTTTTTATTTCAATTCAACTCCCTTAAAGTCTGTGCTTTTGGCATTAATATAATAATACATTGTTATAATGTTTGCTTTATGTTGTCATCAGTCTTTCAACAGAATTAACAGAATCAATTTATCATCTTCTGTATTCACCTACATATTTACTATTTCAGTGTCACCAATGTCTTCTTGTAGATACTATTTTCAATATGTTGTCAATTTTGACAGAACAAAGAACATCCTTCAATGCTAATTGTAGAAGAATTTTTGGCAAAAGATTTTTTTTAAGTATAAAGTTCTGAGTTGACAGTTTCTATTTTTTCTCTTAGCCTTTTAAAGATGTAATTTCATTATGTTCTGGCCATCCTTGTTCCCAGTAGAAGTTCCTTGTAGTTTATATTATCATAATTTTCTGTCTAGTTATTTTCAAGATCCCCTCCATTTTTTTCATGTTCAGTAATTGACTATTTTAGTAATACAACTACTTGTGCCTCATTGTGAAATCTATGTATTTGGCAGTTTGAGATTCATTGAGTTTCTTGAATCTGTACCTTTTATTATTTTTCATGTTTCTTTCTTTAAGACACAGTCTCACTCTGTCCCTTAAGTTGGAGTGCAGTGATGCAATCTCGGCTCACTGCAGCCTCTGGTTCCTGGGTTCAAGCAATTCTCATTCCTCAGCCTCCCGAGTAGCTAGGACTACAGGAGTGGGCCACCATGCCGGGCTAATTTTTTTGTTTTATTTGTATTTTTATTTTTTGTATTTGTAGTAGAGATGGGGTTTCACCATGTTGGCCAGGCTGGTCTAGAACTCCTACCTCAAGTGATCTGCCTGCCAAAGTGCTGGAATTACAGGTATGAGTCACTGCACTGGGCCCCTTTTATCATGTTTCAACAAATTGTAATAAAAATATTTGGTCTTTCACTGTTTATTTTATTTGGTCTTTTTGTTTTGTCCAGTTTTTATGCTTCTCTTCTTGCAACTTTCGATGTTAAGTGTGTCAGATAGACTGTTAGATATTTTTCCGTAGCTCATTGAGATTTTGTTTATTTTTAAATTTTGAAAATATGTGTTCTTCAGATTGGATTAAAGTTTGGTGACCCTTTCACCTGCCTTATCCCACAGGATTATAATCCTTTTCAGTACATTTTTTATCTTTTTTATATTCCTGCCAATAGAATACAGAATTTTCTTTTCTCTTCATCCTTGCCAACAGTTATAGTGTATCTTTTTGATAATGCCTATTGTAACAGAAGTGAGGTGACACATCTCATTCTGGTTTTAATTCGCATTTCCCTAATAATTAGTGATGTGAATGAGTGGTTTCTCATATACTTATTGGCCATTTATATGTGTTCATAGATTACTGTAACATTGAGCTAGGCTCAAACAATCCTCCTGCCTTTGCTTCCCAAATAGCTAGGACTGTAGGTGTGCACCACCATGTCAGCTAATTTGTTTTTTGTTTTCATTTTTTTATAGAGACAGGAGTCTTAGTATGTTGCCCCAGGTGGTCTTGGACTCCTGGCCTCAAGTGATCCTCCTGCTTTGGCCTGCCAAAGCATTGGGACTACAGGCATGAGATGCTGCCATCCAGCTTTTGTCCATTTATAAATAATATTATTTATTTATTTTTTTGCTATTGAAATGTTTGAACTCCTTATAAATTTTGGCTATTACCTCTTCTTAGGTATATGTATTGCAAGTATTATTTCCCATTCCAAAAATTGTCTCTTCAGTCTGTTGATTGTTTCCTTTGCTGTTCAGGAGCTTTTTAGCTTGACGTAATTCCATTTGTCTATTTTGGGAATTTTTCTGCCTGTGTATTAGTGGTTACATGTAGAAAATATCATTGTCCAGACAAATGTCAAGAAGCTTTTTTCCACTTTTTTTTTCTGTTGTAATTTCACATCTCATGTGTAAGTATTTAATTCATTTTGGGTTCATTTTTGTATGTGGTGTGACATGAGAGTTCAATTTTATTCATTTGTATGTGGATATCTAGTTTTTCCTACAACATTTATTGAAGAAAATGTCATTTTTCCATTGTGTGTTCTTGGCACTTTTGTATAAAATCGATTGATTATAAATGCATGGACTGTCTTCTGTTCCATTGGACTACCTGTCTGTTGTAATGCCACTACCATAATGTCTTGAGTGCTTTCATTTTGTCGTATATTTTGAAATCAGGTAGTGTGAGGCCTCCAGCTTTGACTACTTGAGGTCTTTTATAGTTCCATATGAATTTCAGGATTGTTTTTGCTATTTTAGTAAAAAATGATATTGGAATTTTGAAAGAGATTGCATTGAATCTGTAGATTACTTTGGTCATTGACATTTTAACATTATTAATTCTTCTAATCCATGAAAACTGGATTTTTTTTCATGTATTTTTGTCTTCTTTAATTTCTTTCATCATTGTCTTTTAGTTGTCAGTGTATAGATCCTTCAACTCATTGGTTAAATTTATCCTAAGTATCTTATTCCATCTTTATAGCTATTGTAAATGGGATTGTTTTATTGATTTCTTCTTCAGATAATTCATCATTCGTGTATAGAAATGCAGCTGACTTTTGCATGTTGATTTTTTATCCTGCAATTTTACTAAATTATCATTTTTAACAAATGTCAGTGGTGTTTTTTAGGAGATATATATATATATATATATATATATATAAAATCTGTCATCTGCAAACAGAGACAATGTTCAGAGAGAGAAATACTGCCACCAGGACACACAATGATTCCATTAAGCTGGAAGTTAAGATTGCCACCTGGCCACTTTGGGCTCCTGCTGCCTCTAAGTCAACAGGCTAAGAAGGGAGTTACAGTGTTGGCTGGGGTGATTTACCCAGATTATCAAGATGAAATCAGTCTACCACTCCACAACAAAGGTAAGGAGGAGTACGTGTTGAATACAGGCGATCCCTTAGGGCATCTCTTAGTGTTACCATGCCCTGTGATTAAGGTCAATGGGAAACTACAACTCAATCCAGGCAAAACTACAAATGTCCCAGACCCTTCAGGAATGAAGGTTTGGGTCACTCCACCAGGTGAAAATCTTTGACTAGCCAAAGTGCTTGCTGAAGGCCAAAGGAATACAGAATGGGTAATAGAAGAAGGTAGTTATCAATGCCAGCTAGGACCATGTGATCTTCCAGAAATGAGGACTGTAATTATCATGAATATTTCCTCTTTATTTTGTTAAGAATATGTTTGTGCATGTATGCACTTGAACTAAGAAAATATCATCATTTTCTTTTCTTTTTCCTTTATTGTGTGACATAAGATTTATTGACTTCATGTAAGCACTTAAGTGTTGTTAACTTTGTGTAATAATAGGGTTTAGGTTAATAATTACTCAGCTTCCGGTTGTATGAAGGATAATTGTATTATGTTAGGTATAATTATGACCTTACTATTGTCTTCATTTGGAGATTAAGTATGATTTCAGGCGATGTGTATGGGTTCAAGTTGACTAGGGGTGGACTTGTGATGGTTAATAGTAGATTTCAGCTTGATTGGATTGAAGGATGTCTAGATAGCTGGTAAAGTATTGTTTCTGGGTGTGACTGAAGGTGTTTCCAAATGAGGTTAATATTTGAATCAGTGGACTGGGAGAGGAAGACCCATCCTCAATGTGAATGGACACCATCCAATCTGCTGTCAGCATGGCTAGAACAAAGCAGGTGGAAGAATTTGGGATAAACTGGCTTGTTGAGTCTTCTGGCTTTCATTTGTCTTCTGTGCTGGATACTTCCATCCATTCATCCTGCCCTTGGACATCAGAATCCAGATTCTTCATCCTTTGGACTCTTGGACTTACATCAGTGTTTTGCTGGGGGCTTTTTGGACTTTGGCCACAGACCTCAGGCTGTGCTGTCAGCTTCTCTGCTTTTGAGGCTTTTGGACTCAGACTGCGCCACTACTAGCTTCTTCCTTTCTCAGCTTGCAGGTGACCTATGATGGGACTTCACCTTGTGATCCTGTGAGCCAATTCTCCTTAATGAACTCCCTTTGATGTACACATATATCCTATTAGTTCTGTCCCTCTGCAGAACCCTAATATAGCTGGTTTAGAGCCTGGGTCCCTGAGGGCCAGCCTAGAGCTGGAGCAGGTTTGGAGGCTGGGTCTCTGGGGTCCATTCTGGCACTTAGTTGGGATTGGAGCATAGGACCACAAAGGCCAGACTAGAGTGAGCCTTGAGCTGGCCTGGCACGAGGGAAGACCTGGAGCCTGCGTACCCAGGGGCCACTCTGGAGACTAGGTCTGTTGGGGCTGGTCTAAGGCTATGGCTGACCTGAAGCCTGAATCTTCAGAGAATGGCCTGGATCATGGTGTTATGGGAACTGGCCTGGGGCAGTGGTGGCTATGAGTGGAAGAATGGGTATTCCAGTTATAAAGGTCCATGCTGTGAAAACATTAGGCAGGACATGGCACTGATAGGATAAATATTATTTGGCAGTCCTTTATTAATTTTAGATGAGTTAGGTAAGCTTATTAATATCTCTATGTATCAGTATACTTATTAATAAAATACAAATAATTTATCTTTTAAGATCACTTTGCAGAATTATTAATAAGCATACACTTAGCATAGTTCAATTTGTAATAATTCCCATTTTGCAGACCTAAGAAACTGTCCATTCTCTCCCATTGTTCTTTTACAATATACTAAATTTTATGCTAAGTAACAATTTACCCCACAGTTAGTATCTTAAAATAACACACATCTTTATCTCACAGTTTGGCTGAACTAGGAGTCTAGGGATAGCTTAACTGGGTCCTCTGCAAGACTGGAATCAAGATACTGGCCAGGGCTTACTCTCACCAGGAGGTTTGACTGGCAATGGGTCTACTTCCAAGCTCACTAAGATTGATGACTGAGTTCATTTTCTTATGGTAGTATTACTGAAGTCCCTGGTTTCTTGCTGGCTACCAGGCATAGGTCATCTTAGTTTCTAGAGACCATACACATTTACTTGCCATGTGAACCTCTCTATAGGCCCTCTTACAACATGGCCTCTTCAGAACCAGAAGGGGATTCAGTAAGTCTTCCAAGATGAAATCTTCTATAATGTAATGTGCTTAAAAGATCCACATTTTATCATCTCTGTAGTATTTTATTGATTAGAAGCATTTCACAGATTTCACTCACACTAAAGGTGAGGGTACTGTACAAGCATGTAAACATGAAGAGGAGAATATTATGCAGGCCCCCTTAAAACCCGTTCACCACAAATCATGATAATAACCCCAGATCCCCAAAATAAACTATGAATTACTCTCATCTTTATGTTACTCTCATCTTTATATTTCTCCCCTCTTTAAAAAGAAAATCTAAACCAGTAACTGCACAATCCTCAAATAATTGGTGCTTTTGCCAAAGATAATATCTCCCAGGTTACTCCGCAGTACGTTTGGCGAACATCCTTTAATGAGAAAATACAATCTTTGACAATCTGTCAGCTTTCCCATTGCCACTACCCTTCTTCAACTGATGGCAAATAGTTTTAATCAAAAGCATTATAAAGTACAGTCTTTGGCTCTTTAAACAAAATCCCTCTCCCTCATCTAATATTCTGAGGTTTTATTTTACTTCAAATTTAACCAAAGATATCAATCACTGATTTTTCACAGTGTGGTCTTTTGCATTGTTCTATTGGTTCAGGAGTTTTCTCTCTCCCATAATTATCCTTCTATTTATAACACATGTATCACAATGCCAGGCTGTTATCTTCTTCAAATCTCTTTTAGCCTATCCTACACAAAGTAAGAGCCTTGGGGTTTAGCGATTAGTTTGTCTAGCGACAAATTCCTATTTTCTACATTGCTCTCTTGCCCAGTCACAGCTGAGAATCATTGTCTGTACCTCATTTAATGTAAGCTTTATCAGGTTCTGTTTCCTCCCAGTCTTACTCAGAAGAAAGCAAGCTGCCTTTCTACAAAGAATCTCCCTAGTTCTTCGAGGAGATTTATTTACTTTTTATCTTTTTTCATTTTCTTACTAGTGGCGTTAGATAACATTATGTAAAATAAGCATATCAAAGTCGGGGAAACAAGAAGAAACCTGCAACAACCAGCAAGGTTTATGTAAAATCCACTTTAATTAATATGTGGACATGGAATCTGAATATGACTTTGGGAAAGGGGCAAAAGTCTGTGGAAGTTAAGGTCACATATAATCATGGTTGCTATTTCATAAAATATTGCCCAAGAATTTATTTGTGGTACTACCAATTAAGCTCCTGTTTTCAAGATAGTTTTCAGTCATAAATACTTAAAAAGAATCAATTAACATATTGTCACCAAAGACAAAGAAAACAGGATAATAAAATGGAAAAAAAAAATGCCATAGACAAAGTTAGAAGATAGGTTTAACCCTTGATTTGGAGCTAGCTGGGCATCATTTTTGTCATCTATAAAATAACTGGAAGAATTATTTGATCTTTAAGATATGTTTTAAGTTCTATTGTATTTTGAACCGATTTCTTTAAATAAGACCTTTTAAGGAAAAGAAATATACTCAGAGATTAGGAAAAGAGGCTGCAAAGAAGCAATTGTATTCTTACATTTTTTTGAAGTCATGTATATTTCATTTAACAATGTTCAGCCCTTAAGCTCCTAAAATATATAACCTGTAGAGTAATTTGAAACTTTGAAATTGTATAAGACCCTGCATTAATTTTTAACCAGTAGTGATATAATCATAAAATCATTTTAATACAAACTGTATCCTACTTACTTCTATTTACTTAGGACTAAGTTGTTCAAATTATTTTCCTTTGCAGTGGTCAGTGTGTAGTTTTACTCATGAGGCTAACTTCAGGACTATATTAATAATTTATCATAAATTGAGCAACTTTTAGACTCTTGATATGGTTTGGCTGTGTTCCTACCCAAATTTCATCTTGAACTGTAGTTTCCATAATTCTCATGTGTCATGAGAGGGACCTGGTGGGAGTTAATTTAATCATGGGAGTGTTTACCCTCATGCTGTTCTCATGATAGTGAGTGAGTTCTCATGAGCTACGATGGTTTTCCCCCTTTTGCTCCACACTTCTCCTTACTGCTACCATGTGAAGAAGGACATGTTTGCTTTCTCTTCCCCTGTGATTGTAAGTTTCCTGAGGCCTCTCCAGCCATGTTGAGCTGTGAGTCAATTACACCTCTTTCCTTTATAAATTATTCAGTCTTGGGTATGTCTTTATTATGAATAGCAGCGTGAGAATGGGCTAATACAATTCTTTTCATAGTAGTACGATATCAGTTGGTCAATGTTTACTGACAATTGTAGGATATAAGACAGTATATGTGGAGATGCTAGGTAGAGTGAATATAGCAAGAAAAATTGGGCTAAGGAGTAGAAATGCAAATGAAACTTGGTGTTAACAAAATGTAAATTGCAATCCCTTTCAATGGGTCTCCTACATGAGGAATACTGAAGAATATTCAAGATAAGATTGTTTTAAATGTTAGATGTTATATAAGGAATTCTCTAACATGAGCTAATCCTGTACAATAGTGAAAATGTGGGAGAAACAGGCCCACAACGAAAGTACATCAGGTCTAAGATAGTGCTTAGGCACAGGTGAAATACTTTCTTCAGGCTTAGTGAATGAAATGACACTAGAAAAACAAAATTTGCCTGCAGAATTTTAATAGAAAAAGGGAGCACGTAAATTGACATTTTGTATATGTTCCATCCAGGAACAAGCTATGTAAAAATGTAACTTATGACATTACATTTATACATTTATTTAATTAATTATTTAGGCTAAAATTTTCTTAAAATTTATCCCTAAAATTATGAAATTGATTTTTTTTGCAAAATATAGCAAAAATATTTTGTTGTAATGTAATAGAATATAACAACTACTTACATAGAATTTATATTACATTATGTATTTTAAGTAATTTAGGGTTGATTTAAATTGTGCAGGGGAAATTGTGTAGGTTATATGTACATTGTCAGGCCTCTGAGCCCAAGCCAAGCCATCGCATCACCTGTGACTTGCATGTATAAGCCCAGATGGCCTGAAGTAACTGAAGAATCACAAAAGAAGTGAAAAGGCCCTGCCCCGCCTTAACTGATGACATTCCACCATTGTGATTTGTTCCTGCCCCACCTTAACTGAGTGATTAACCCTGTGAATTTCCTTCTCCTGACTCAGAAGCTCCCCCACTGAGCACCTTGTGACCCCCACCCCTGCCCACCAGAAAACAATCCCCTTTGACTGTAATTTTCCATTACCTTCCCAAATCCTATAAAACGGCCCCACCCCTATCTCCCCTTCCCTGACTCTCTTTTCGGACTCAGCCCGCCTGCTCCCAGGTGAAATAAACAGCCATGTTGCTCACACAAAGCCTGTTTGGTGGTCTTTTCACACGGATACATATGAAATTTGGTGCCGTGACTCAGATCGGGGGACCTCCCTTGGGAGATCAATCCCCTGTCCTCCTGCTCTTTGCTCCGTGAAAAAGACCCACCTATGACCTCGGGTCCTCAGACCCACCAGCGTAAGGAACATCTCACCAATTTTAAATTGGGTAAGCGGCCTCTTCTTACTCTCTTCTCCAACCTCTCTCACTGTCCCTCAACCACTTTCTCCTTTCCACTCTTCAATCTCTCCCTTCTCTTAATTTCAATTCCTTTCATTTTCTGGGAGAGACAAAGGAGACACATTTTATCTGTGGACCCAAAACTCCGGCGCCGGTCACGGACTGGGAAGGCAGCCTTCCCTTGGTGTTTAATCATTGCAGGGATGCCTCTCTGATTATACACCCGCGTTTCAAGGGTGTCAGACCATGCAGGGACGCCTGCCTTGGTCCTTCACCCTTAGCGGCAAGTCCCGCTTTTCTGGGGAAGGGGCAAGTACCTCAACCCCTTCTCTTTGTCTCTCCTCCTTCTCTGCTTTTCTGGGAGAGGGGCAAGTACCCCTCAACCCCTTCTCCTTCACCCTTAGCGGCAAGTCCCGCTTTTCTATGGGGCAAGAACCCCCAATCCCTTGTTTCTGCACCCCAACCTCTTATCTCTGTGCCCCAATCACTTATTTCCACACCCCAACCTCTTATCTCTGTGCCCCAATCCGTTATTTCCGCAACCCGACCTCTTATCTCTGTGTCCCAATCTCTTATTTCCATGCCCCAACCTCGTATCTCTGCACCCCAATCCCTTATTTCCGCTCCCCAACCTCTTATATCTCTGTGCCCCAATCCCTTATTTCCACACCCCGACCTCTTATCTCTGTGCCCCAACCCCTTTTCCCACTTTTCTGGAAGGTAAGAACCCCCGAACCCCTTCTCTCCATTTCTCTACTCTCTCTTTTCTCTAGGCTTGCTTCTTTCACTATGAGCAAACTTCCACCCTCCATTCCTCCTTCTACTCCCTTGGCCTGTGTTCTCAAAAATTTAAAACCTCTTCAACTCACACCTGACCTAAAACCTAAATGCCTGATTTTCTTCTGCAATGCCGCTTGACCCCAATACAAACTTGACAGTAGTTCCAAATAGCCAGAAAATGACACTTTGAATTTTTCCATCCTGCAAAATCTAAATAATTCTTGTCATAAAATAGGCAAACAGTCTGAGGTGCCTGACGTCCAGATTCTTTTACACATCAGTCCCTTCCTAGTCTCTGTGCCCAGTGCGACTCGTCCCAAATCTTCCTTCTTTCCCTCCTGCCTGTCCCCTCAGTACCAACGCCAAGCGTCACTGAGTCTTTCTAATCTTCCTTTTCTACAGACCCATCTGACCTCTCCCTTCCTCCCCAGGCTGCTCCTCGCCAGGCGAAGCTAGGTCCCAATTCTTCCTCAGCCTCTGCTCCTCCACCCTATAATCTTTTTATCACCTCCCCTCCTCACACCTGGTCCGACTTACAGTTTCGTTCCGTGACTAGCCCTCCTCCACCTGCCCAGCAATTTCCTCTTAAAAAGGTGGCTGGAGCCAAAGGCTTAGTCAAGGTTAATGCTCCTTTTTCTTTATCCCAAATCAGAAGCGTTTAGGCTCTTTTTCATCAAATATAAAAATCCAGCCCAGTTCATGGCTCGTTTGGCAGCAACCCTGAGACGCTTTACAGCCCTAGACCCTAAAATGTCAAAAGGCCGTCTTATTCTCAATATACATTTTATTACCCAATCTGCTCCTGACATTAAATAAAACTCCAAAAATTGGAATCTGGCCCTCAAACCCCACAACAGGACTTAATTAACCTCACCTTCAAGGTGTACAATAACAGAAAAAAGTTGCAATTCCTGGCCTCCACTGTGAGACAAACCCCAGCCAAATCTCCAGCACACAAGAACTTCCAAACGCCTGATCCGCAGCAGCCAGGCGTTCCTCCAGAACCTCCTCCCCCAAGAGCTTGCTACACGTGCCGGAAAGCTGGCCACTGAGCCAAGGAATGCCCGCAGCCCAGGATTCCTCCTAAGCCGCGTCCCATCTGTGTGGGACCCCACTGAAAATTGGACTGTTCAACTCACCTGGCAGCCACTCCCAGAGCCCCTGGAACAATGGCCCAAGGCCCTCTGACTGACTCCTTCCCAGATCTTCTCGGCTTAGCAGCTGAAGACTGACACTGCCCGATCGCCTCGTGAGCCCCCTAGACCATCACGGACGCCGAGCTTCGGGTAACTCTCACAGTGGAAGGTAAGCCTGTCCTCTTCTTAATCAATACGGAGGCTACCCACTCCACATTACCTTCTTTTCAAGGGCCTGTTTCCCTTGCCTCCATAACTGTTATGTGTATTGATGGCCAGGCTTCTAAACCTCTTAAAACTCCCCAACTCTGGTGCCAACTTAGACAATACTCTTTTAAGCAATCCTTTTTAGTTATCCCCACCTGCCCAGTTCCCTTATTAGGCTGAGACACTTTAACTAAATTATCTGCTTCCCTGACTATTCCTGGACTACAGCTATATCTCATTGCCACCCTTCTTCCCAGTCCAAAGCCTCCTTTGCGTCCTCCTCTTGTATCCCCCCACCTTAACCCACAAGTATAAGATACCTCTACTCCCTCCTTGGTGACCGATCATGCACCCCTTACCATCTCATTAAAACCTAATCACCCTTACCCCACTCAACGCCAATATCCCATCCCGCAGCATGCTTTAAAAAGATTAAAGCCTGTTATCATTTGCCTGCTACAGCATGGCCTTTTAAAACCTATAAACTCTCCTTACAATTCCCCCATTTTACCTGTCCTAAAACCAGAGAAGCCTTACAAGTTAGTTCAGGATCTGCGCCTTATCAACCAAATTGTTTTGCCTAGCCACCCCATGGTGCCAAACCCATATACTCTCCTATCCTCAATACCTCCCTCTACTACCCATTATTCTGTTCTGGATCTCAAACATGCTTTCTTTACTATTCCTCTGCACCCTTCATCCCAGCCTCTCTTTGCCTTTACTTAGACTGACCCTGACACCCATTAGGCTCAGCAAATTACCTGGGCTGTACTGCCGCAAGGCTTCACAGACAGCCCCTATTACTTCAGTCAAGCCCAAATTTCATCCTCATCCGTTACCTATCTCAGCATAATTCTCATAAAAACACATGTGCTCTCCCTGCTGATCGTGTCCGATTAATCTCCCAAACCTCAATCCCTTATAAAAGAACAACTCCTTTCCTTCCTAGGCATGGTTAGTGTGGTCAGAATTCTTACACAAGAGCCAGGAGCACACCATGTAGCCTTTCTGTCCAAACAACTTGACCTTACTGTTTTAGCCTAGCCCTCATGTCTGCGTGCAGCAGCTGCTGCTGCTTTAATACTGTTAGAGGCCCTAAAAATCACAAACTATGCTCAACTCACTCTCTACATTTCTCATAACTTCCAAAATCTATTTTCTTCCTCATACCTGACACATACTTTCTGCTCCCCGGCTCCTTCAGCTGTACTCATGCTTTAAGTCCCACAATTACCATTGTTCCTGGCCTGGACTTCAATCTGGCCTCTCACATTATTCCTGATACCACACCTGATGCCCATGACTGTATCTCTCTGATCCACCTGATATTCACCCCATTTCCCCATATTTCCTTCTTTCCTGTTCCTCAACCCTGATCACGCTTGATTTATTGATGGCAGTTCCACCAGGCCTAATCGCCACACACCAGCAAAGGCAGGCTATGCTATAGTACAAGCCACTAGCCCGCCTCTCAGAACCTCTCATTTCCTTTCCATCGTGGAAATCTATCCTCAAGGAAATAACTTCTCAGTGTTCCATCTGCTATTCTACTACTCCTCAGGGATTATTCAGGCCCCCTCCCTTCCCTACACATCAAGCTCGAGGATTTGCCCCACCCAGGACTGGCAAATTAGCTTTACTCAACATGCCCCGAGTCAGGAAACTAAAATACCTCTTAGTCTAAATAGACACTTTCACTGAATAAGTAAAGGCCTTTCCTACAGGGTCTAAGAAGGCCACCACAGTCATTTCTTCCCTCCTGTCAAACATAATTCCTCAGTTTAGCCTTCCCACCTCTATACAGTCTGATAACAGACCGCCTTTATTAGTCAAGCAGTTTTTCAGGCTCTTAGTATTCAGTGAAACCTTTATATCCCTTACGGTCCTCCGTCTTCAAGAAAAGTAGAACGGACTAAAGGTCTTTTAAAAACACACCTCACCAAGCTCAGCCACCAACTTAAAAAGGACTGGACAATACTTTTACCACTTTCGCTTCTCAGAATTCAGGCCTGTCCTCAGAATGCTACAAGGTACAGCCCATTTAAGCTCCTGTATAGATGCTCCTTTTTATTAGGCCCCAGTCTCATTTGACACCAGACCAACTTAGACTGTGCCCCAAAAAAACTTGTCATCCCTACTATCTTTTGTCTAGTCATACTCTTATTCACCATTCTCAACTACTCATACATGCCCTGCTCTTGTTTACACTGCAGGTTTACACTGTTTCTCCAAGCCATCACAGCTGCTGATATCTCCTGGTGCTATCCCCAAACTGCCACTCTAAACTCTTGAAGTAAATAAATAATCTTTGCTGGCAGGACTATGCTGAATCTCCTTAGGCACTCTCTAATCAGATGCCCTAGGTCCTCCCAATTCTTAGACCTTTTATACCTGTTTTTCTCCTTCTCTTATTCCATTTAGTTTTTCAATTCATACAAAACCGTATCCAGGCCATCATCAATCATTCTATACAACACATGTTTCTTCTAACAACCCCACAATATCACCCCTTACCACAAAATCTTCCTTCAGCTTAATCTCTCCCACTCTAGGTTCCCACGCCGCCCCTAATCCCACTCGAAGCAGCCCTGAGAAACATTGCCCATTCTCTCTCCATACCACCCCCCAAAATTTTCACTGCCCCAACACTTCAACACTATTTTGTTTTATTTTTCTTATTAATATAAGAAGTCAGGAATGTCAGGCCTCTGAGCCCAAGCCAAGCCATCACATCACCTGTGACTTGCATGTATAAGCCCAGATGGCCTGAAGTAACTGAAGAATCACAAAAGAAGTGAAAAGGCCCTGCCCCGCCTTAACTGATGACATTCCACCATTGTGATTTGTTCCTGCCCCACCTTAACTGAGTGATTAACCCTGTGAATTTCCTTCTCCTGACTCAGAAGCTCCCCCACTGAGCACCTTGTGACCCCCACCCCTGCCCACCAGAAAACAACCCCCTTTGACTGTAATTTTCCATTACCTTCCCAAATCCTATAAAACGGCCCCACCCCTATCTCCCTTTGCTGACTCTCTTTTCAGACTCAGCCCGCCTGCACCCAGGTGAAATAAACAGCCATGTTGCTCACACAAAGCCTGTTTGGTGGTCTCTTCACACAGACACGCATGAAATACATACTATGCCATTTTATATGAGGGACTTGAGCATCCTAGGATTTTGTTATCTGAGGGAGTCTTGGAACCAATCCCTTATAAATACAAAGGAACAACTGTATTTACATATTTTGTTTAAATAAAATTATATTTCAGTAGGGAGGGCATGTTTTTATATCACTGTTTTGCAGATTTGAGAATTGTGGTTCAGATAAGGTGACTAACCTGCTGAAGATATTTAGCTAGAGAGTGTCTGACAGTTGAGTTAAAAACTCAGGGGTTGTGGGGAGAGGAAGACATGAGGATAAATAGCTAACGCATGGGGGCTTACCTAGGGGATGGGTTGATAAGTGCAGCAACCACCATGGCACACATTTACCTATGTAACAAATCTGCATGTCTTGCACATGTATCCTGGAACATAAAATAAAATAAAATAAAATAAAATAAAATAAAATAAATAAATAAAAAACTCAGATCATCTGAAATTTTTAGAACAGACCTCTCATGATATGTTTGAAAATTAGTCACTTTCATCAGGTCATCGACCAAAGATTCTGAAACAAAGTTCAGTTATTTAGGCTGTTTTTTATTTCAACACTTGATTTAGTGCCTTGTATTAAAAGTAATGGCAAAAACCACAATTACTTTTGCACCAACCTAATACTTCTGGTTTACACAGTTGCTGGGAAAACCCCCTGCCACAACCAAGAACTGCCCCCAATAAGTAGAAGGAAAGCTCAGACCAAACAAAGAGGCAGACTTCTCCAGGTTGGTAGGTGGTCAAAGATTTATTCAGTAAAAACTTGCATAGAAAGATAAAGGGGCGGTCTTGGGCAGCAGCAAGATGTGGTAGATCTTCCAGCTTGTGTTGCAAGCCTCTCTAGTCTTTTCTACCATGAGAAGAAAAGGGAAAGAGAAAGGAGGAAAAAAAGTCACTTATGGCATGTTAGGCTATCTGGCTGTTTTCTTAATCTATTTACTCTCTGCTTAAAGGGATTGTTTGTGTTCTCTACAATCTGGTCAACATTCTTTAGGGGAGGAGGGGATGTTTTAAGCAGCATCAGTTTTCTGGGTCCTCTGTTGGCTGAATCCCATAACTCCCTTGCTGTCACACACCCAGTATACATTTTCACAAAATTAGTGCAAAATATTTCTGCCAAACTTTTAAAACTCATTTCCGGAAACTCAATCTCTGTAATGTCTTTAGATAACATTGAGCAGTGTGCCAGAGATATTCTCCAGAGCCACTGAAATGGATGAGGAAGAAGCTGTACCCTTTCACTTCAAGCATTTAAAAGAATTTGCATTTTCAAATTTTTTCCCTCCACACTTCCTATAGCTGTTCACTAAGAAGATGGAAGCTAATAGTAATTCCACCTTGGTTTCTTTACACTTGAAAAATCTAATCATATCTTCTCCTTCTGCATCATTTTGAAAAGTTTTGTGTGAGTCTTGTTTAATTAAGGCGAGACCTCACAAAATTCTATTATTTCATATAATTTTATCTTCTATATTTTTTTTATGTTTGATATTCTCAGGGTTTGTTTTTGATGTGGTGATAATATTAGAATCCAATTTTGATTTTTTAGTATTTTACTCTGCTAAACCTCACAAAGTATGCTTGTTTGTTTTATATATTTTTTTAGAAAGGTGCTTGCTCACAAAGATCTACTCTCAATGAAGAGGATTTTACTTTTATTATGCTAAAGTAGGGTTTCTGGATCTCAGCAATATTTACATGTTTAACTGGATAATTCTTTGTTCAGTTAGCAGAATCTCTTCTATTCACTAGATATTTGTGGCATACCTCCAACCTCCAGCTGTGACAACCAAAAATGCCTCCAGCCATTGCCAAATTCCATTTGCATAATGCAGGGTTTCTCATCAAGGCAGTTTTGTCCTGCAGGGAACATTTCTACAATGAGGGGAGAGCCTGCTACTAGTATGCACAGGAGAATCCCTATAGTGAAGAGTTATCTTGACTAAAATGTCAACAACGTTAAAGTTGAAATCCCAGTTGGTAAATCTGTTACAGCTCTTTATTTGAAGTTAAAATAGAAGATTGACTTCTCTAGGATAAAAGCTTTCAGGAAAATCTCACTGTAGTTTAGGTGTATGGTAGAAAGTAAAACAAGTTATATTGCCCTATGATTTCAAAATCCTGTCTCTCAGCTTTCTATGTTCATGTCTATCTGTCAAATTCTTACTTGCTTCTACACTTAGCAATATTACAACTGTAATAGAATCAGGAATATTCTCTCTCACTGTAAACACCAGTTTTCACCCAAAATAAGCACTAACTGTACTTCACAGAAAGATACAGCAGTTTCCTGGGCAGTCACAGCCTTTGCAAGGCTGAATCCTCTCACTCACCTATGGAACCTTCTGGTTATATGCTGCCTTTGATGCAAATTTAACTATCCCTGTCTGTTCAGTATTCCAGAAAGTAAATGGACTCCGGACTCCTTAAGGCTGGCACTGGACAATTTTTTATCAGTGCATCCTTCTTTTTCCTTTTTTTCCCACATAGGAGGCAATGGATCTTAGAAAGGGGCTGAAAATCCTATTACATTCTGGAAGAGCAGCTGTCTCTTCACCACCCGCCTATTGCTTCATGCTTGTACTCTGATCTGCTATAGTTGCTGCCTTCTGAGAATTTATGAGCTATGAAGTCATCACGGACTTCTTAGCCAGCTCTCAACTTGTGGCTTTGCATCAAATAGTCCTTCTAATCCTGACAAGTGAAGGGAATATTTTTTTCCCCATGAGAATTCATAACTTTCTCTCGAGCTCTTCCTTTTTAAAAAATAACTTTTTCTATGCTGGCCAGAGAGCCACTACCAATTTTCATTAAGTTCCTTTTCCTTAGGCATATTTATAATGTTTCTTCTGCCCACCTTGCCTTCCAGTTTCACCTCCGTGTGTTGTATATCCTACTATTACATTATGATCTAACTATTTTTTAAGAGTAGCTCTTTCACCTCCCATTTAAATTCTTCTGACAAAGCAATCTATTAAGCCAATAGAATAAGGATTTTTTTTCTAAAAATTCTGTTATCGAAGACTTACTGAATGAATATCTGTCATTACCTCACCCTTTTTTTTCTTTTTCTTTTTGTTAGTTGAGTTTCTCAGTTACATAACCACCTCATAGCCTATATTAATGCACTTCCATCAAATTCTGTGGTTTAGGTTAAATATTTCTTGTATTTGTAATTAAGTTCATACATAAATAAGCTTCCAGATTTAGTTTCTTGTGCTGTAAAGCCTCATATGATTCTGGATTTAGCCATCTGGGTTTATACTCTTTGACACTACTTATCTGTACCCTGGTATATGTCAGGGAATTAAATCTGCTCCAAAATTTAGGTTACATGTAACTTGGTAAGTTGGGCCCAATTACAGGCTTTTACCTTAGAGAGTAAAACAAAGTAACACAAGCAGAGTCTCTGCAAAATTTCTAGCAGTCTTTTGCAATACTTAGACTTTTCTATTATAACAAGAATAATTTAAAATTATTTAAAAGTGCTGGTAAGCTACTTGATTCAAAAGATAGGATAGAACATGTGACTAGAGTAGTGATTCTTAGATATTTTTTGGCACAGGTCTTTGAAAATGTGGTAACACAAATTTTCTCTTTAGAATAAAAGAACTTCAAATTTCAAAGAGTTTGTTGACAGTGAAACTTTCCATGTTGATCTTAGTTGTCCATGCATAGAAAGTTAAGAATCTCTGTACTGACTTTAAATATCAGGAATCAGGTAGGGGTTTTCTATGCAGTCTCTGTCTTATAAACTATTTGTCCAGAAATATTTCATTATTCTCTTAAAATGCCACCAACCAAGCAAATATAATGGTAGCAATCTCCATGATTCAATCATAAAAAAAATTAACAAGCAAAAATGTACTCTAAGTTTTTCATTGCAATTTCTATGAATATGCTTCAATCTAAAGATATTATAACTAGGAACTAGGCACGAATATGGAAAACAGATAAATTTTCAAATACACTGAAAGCATAACTTTGATATTAGAATTCAAAATATACATTAACATGCAAAGAAGTGATCATAGAATAAATAGCAAAACTAAATTCAATGGACTAGATACTTGGTACTATCCACTCAGAACTAAAGGACATTGATAGAGAATTTTTTTTTTTACTTCAGCTTAGGTAAGTTGTTATATATACATATACATATACATATATATACACATTTATACATATATATATATATAGAGAGAGAGAGAGAGAAATAATGAGAGCAAGGGCAAGCAGAGAGAAAAAGAGAATGCTGTGGTTTGAATGGGTCCCCTCCAAAATTCATGTTGAAATTTAATCCCCATTGTAGTGGCATTAAGAGGTGGGGCCAGGAGATGATCAAGTCATGAAAGTAATGTCCTTCCGAATAGATTAGTGTCTTATAGGAGGCCTGGATACATTAGCTTAGGCCCTTTTGCATTTCTGCCTTTCGATGAAACACTAAGGCACAATCCTGGAAGCAAGGACTAATTTCTCACCAGATACTAAACGTGCCAGGGCCTTCATCTTGAACTTCTCAGCCTCCAGAACTGTGAGAAATAAATTTCTATTGTTTATAAGTTGCTCACTCTCAGGTATTTTGCCATAGCTGCACAAACAGACTGATACAGAGAGAGAGAAAAAAAGAGAAAGAAAAAGAGAGAGAGATACATCTGTCACATTTGCTTAAAATTTCAAAGCTCTAACACTAATTCTTCCCCATTAATTCTTTGTGATTCTATTCGTATTGGCTTATTTTTTAAATGTCACTAAATAAGTCGAGATAATACAGATTTCATTTTCTACTGCCGATAACCTTCCGTTAAGTGATTGTTCATTGACCAACAAGAAGCAGCAGCGTTGCTGAAAGTCACATATTATCCAGGTGTTTGTAGTCCTTGAAATTTGTTATCACAGTAATTGTTTTCAACACCACCTTTTTTAAAAAGGACTAACTGTTTTAACTTAATGACCCTTGTTTTGCTGCAAAATAATTCCACATTTTAAAACATATTTATATATCTGATAGTATTGATGTTACTAAATTTATGAGGTAAAGGTAAAATGGTTAGAAAAAAAATTACTTAAAGTAATCTGAGCAAAGTGGTTCATACCTGCAATCCCAATGCTTTGGGAGGCCAAGGTAGGATTGCTTAAGGCCAGGAGTTCAAGACCAGCCTGGGCAACATAGCAAGACTACATCTCTACAAAAAATAAAATAAAATTAGCCAGTTGTAGTGGTGAGTGCCTGTGTTGCTACATACTTGGGAAGCTGAGGCAGGAGGATCACTTGAGCCCAGGAACTTAAGGCTGCAGTGAGCTATGAGCTCAACACCGCACTCTAGCCTGGGCACTAGAGTGAAACCAGGAACTAGGCACAAATATGGAAATCAGATTTTAAAAAAATTACTTAAAATACATTTCCTTTGTGTTGTTTCCTGTGACTTTCATTGTTGTCGCTCAGCATTTATATAAAGACCTTTGTATTTTCAACTTTTGACAGTTATGAACAATGTCACTGACAATATAATATTTTTCTAAATAAGAAAATATTTTAATTTATTTAAATATTTTTCAATTAACACAAGCATATATATATATATATATATATATATATATATATATATATATATATATATTTAGTTAGCCACAACTGTGCAAACTTTCAAGAAATAAGGGGAAGAAATCTAACAAGTGCTGGCTCACTTTGTTGGACTTTACCTCAATCCTCTACATTTTCTGATCTAACAAATTTTCGTATGGCAATTTTAGAATAATGCTCAGAGGAAAAGACCATGCCAATTTAAAAATTAATTAATTAATTTTATTTTAAGTTCTGAGATACATGTGCATGACATGCGGGTTTGTTACATAGGTAAATGTGTGCCATGGTGGTTTGCTGCACTGATCAACCCATCATGTAGGTATTAAGCCCCACACGCATTCACTATTTATCCTGATGCTCTCCCTCACTCTGCCCCCTTTACAGGATCCAGTGTGTATTGTTCTCCTCCCTGTGTACATGCGTTCTCATTGTTCAGCTCCCACTTATAAGTGAGAACATGCAGCGTTTGGTTTTCTGATCCTGTGTTAGTTTGTGGAGGATGATGGCTTTCCAGCTCCATGTATGTCCCTGTATAAAACATGATCTCATTCCTTTTTATGGCTGGATAATATTCCATGGTGTATATGTAGCATATTTTCTTAATCCAATCTATCATTGATAAGCATTTAGGTTGATTCCATGTCTTTGCTATTGCGAATAGTGCTGCAATGAACATACACGTGCATGTATCTTTATAGTAGAATAATTTATATTCCTCTTAGTATATACCTAGTAATGGGATTGCTTTGTCAAATGGTCTTTCTGGTTCTAGGTTTTTGAGGAATTGCCACACTGTCTTCCACAATGGTTGAATTAATTTACATTACCACCAACAGTGTAAAAGTATTCCCATTTCTCCACAGCCTCACCAGTGTTCGTTGTTTCTTGACTTTTTAATAATCACCATTCTGATAGGTGTGAGATGGTATCTCATTGTGGTTTTCATTTGCAGTTTTCTAATGATCAGAGAGGTTGAGTTTTTTTCATATGTTTATTGGCCACATAAATATCTTATTTTGAGAAGTGTCTGTTCATGTTCTTTGCCCACTTTTTAATGGTTTTTTTTTTTTTTTTTTTTTTTTTTTTTTTTGTAAATTTGTTTAAGTTCCTTGTAGATTCTGGATATTAGACCTTTTCAGATGGAGAGATTGCAAAAATTTTCTCCCATTCTGTAGGTTGCCTGTTCAATCTGATAATAATTTCTTTTGCTGTGCATAAACTTTTTAGTTTCATTAGATCTCATTTGCCAATTTTTGCCTTTGTTGCAATTGCTTTTGACATTTTCATCATGAAATCTTTGCCCGTGCCTGTGTCCTGAATGGTATTGCCTAGATATTCTTCTAGGGTTTTTATAGTTTTGGGTTTTACATTTAAGTCTTTAATCCATCTTGAGTTAATTTTACACAAGGTGTAAGGAAGGGGTCCAGTTTCAATTTTCTGCATATGAAATTGTGTCAATTTAAACAGCATAGAATTCGCTGTTTAAATTGCTATACATAGAATCAGTTGATCTAGAAAATTTATCAAGACAAAGCCAATTGTTTGTACACAAATTAATCTCTTTTTATGTTGTTTAGTGAGCTCTACTGCTGAGGAAAAAGGAGAATTTTATATGTGAAATTAATATAGATATTTTGGAAGTATTTTGTCTCCTTAGAATGGAAAAAATTATTCCAATACTTGTGAAACTTACTGACTGTTATTTCCTTTTGACAACTTATACAAAATATGTTACAATTAAAAGAAATCTAGAGTACATACCTAATGATTTTGAATTCTAATATTAGAAGAAATGTGTGAAATATAAGGATTTGTAATTTAATCAATAATTTCTATCAAACAAAATATTAATTATTTAATTAAATGAATACATACTGAATATGTACTTTGTGGATTAAATACAAGTCAGGCTCAGTATGTGCTCTTGATTTTGGAAAAATAGATATAGGAAGTCAATAAATGGATATAGCTATATCAAGGAGTTTTAAGGTCCATAGGATCAGATATTAAGACTCACATTATGGCATTTTAGTATGAAGTTTAGGTTTTGTATATGAGATATACATGCTATGCAGGTCTCTAAACATCAACTCAAACATCAGCTGCCTCTGGGAGCTCAATAAGAGTACTAGAAAATTAGTAATTAAATCATTTTTTAACGTGGGTACTACTTCCATATAGAATATGCTATAAAGAAACTGAGAGGAAAACAAGGATTGTATTTAATATAGCAAGTAATGTATAAAAGACGTCAGTGTCTTACAGAGAGGTAAAACAAATATAGATACAAATGAAACAAAAAAATGGGTGAAAAGCTAACTTTAATGTAAATTGTTTTTTAAAAAAGAACCATTGATTTCAGCCAAACTGGAATCACTGGTCTAGACAAGTCCTCTAACTTAGGCTGCTATAAAACTGGAAAATGTATATAAAATAACAATTTCTGGTCATTGGAAAATAGTTGACATAGAATGTGCAAAACCTATACATGGAAAACTACAAATCATCTGAAGAGATACTATAGAAAACCCAATGTAAAGAAGGTGTATACTATGTTCATGGAATTAAAAACTCTAAATTGGTTAAGATGTCAAATCTCTGTGAATTACTTCATAGATTTAACATAATTCCCATAAAGCCTTAACACACTTCTTTCCCAAAATTAACAAGCTAATTACAAAAATTTAAATGAATGATTAGTCAAATTCAAATGAATAGTCAAATAAATCTATAAAAAGGAGGAGCTAGATGAATAATACCACCACCAGAGTTTAATCTACTATAAAGTTACATTAATCAAGACATTGCAGTAAGAATCTATGAATAAACAAAGTGACAGCAAAAGAGAATAGAGTTGAGAAATAGACCTATATTTCTGGTCATTTGGTTTGTAACAAAGTTGCCAAGGCAAATCTATAGGAAAAAAATATTATTTTAAAATAGTAATAGAAAAACTATCCATGGGTGGTGGTGGTGGTAGGGGTTGAAGGATAAATCTCAATCCATACCTCACATGTACATGAAAATTAATTTGAAGTATGCAATAAACCTAAACGTGAAAGCTAAAATATAACATCTCTAGAAGAAATTGAAGAATAATATCCTGCAACCTTGGGGTAGGAAATAAGTTATTAATCAAGATGCAAAAAAATACTAACCATAAAAGAAATGAATGATAAATTTGACTTAAAATAATAAGATTAAAGTCATGCTTTTTCAATGTCATTTCTAGGAAAATGTGTAGGCAAGCCACATTTTTGGAGACAGCACTATTAATACATATTTTGATAAATGACTTACATCCAGAATACATAAAGTACTCCTCAAAGTATTTGATAATAAAAAGGCAAACAATCCAATAAAAATGTACAGGATACTTGTGTAGTCTCTTCGTATAATATGTTTTACAAAAATTGTATGAAAATGAAAAGTGAGCCTCTTTTTTTATTTTAACAATGCAAATTATAATCCAATGTGATTCATATACTTTAAAATGAATAAAAGTAAAAATACCAATTTTGGTGATGTTTTGAAGCAACCAAACTCCTAAATGTTGCTAGATATGCAAAATGCTAATGTGCAGTGGTACCACTTTGGAAATAATTTTGGCAATATCTTATGCAATAGTTATTTTCCTTTCCAAGATAAATGGATATACATGACTAGACTACTGCATGCTAAATGCTCCTTGAAGTTTTATTCACAGTACACCCAAGCTAGAAACAAAATATTCTTCTTTTTCAACAGGACATTGGATAGATATAATGTAGTATATTCCTGCAAAGTAATGGTACTCACCAATATACGTGAGCTACTAATATATTCAACAATGTAAACAGATATCAAAAATATGCGGAGTGAAAGAAGCCAGATTCAAAAGAATATTTTCTGAGTTTTAAAGATTTACATGAAGTTCTACAGCACACAAAACTAATATTTGGTAAAGAATTCTGATGAATAATAATCAAAAATATAGTAAAATAATAAATCATACATTCAAGAAATATTTTTTGCAGGCTGCCTACATGGCAGATCCTGTTATTGAGGGATAACAACACACACAGACTCTCCTTTTTTGTGAATCTTATGTTTTAGAGAGAGAAAGATAAAAATAAAGAGAAAAAATGCAGAGGATGTCAATCAATATGCACTAAGTAGTATGAAGAAAAGACCAGGAGGGCATGTTGGGAAAGCCTTTTTGAGAACAGTAACTTGGAGAAAGGACAGAAAAAATAAAAATCTGTTTTTATAAAGGAGAAAGGTATTCTACTGAACAAGAGGAGCAAGTGCAAAGTCCCTGAGAGAAATGAATGCCTGGATCGTTGAAAGAACAGTAATAAAGCCAGTGTTACTGGACTGCACTGAACAAGAGGAGAAGTAGTAAACAAAATCAGTGACAAGGCCATGGAAGTGTGTATGAGTCAGGGTTCTCTGTAGAAACAGAAACAATAGGACATAGCTAGATATAGATGTAAAGGTATATAGATACAGAGATAAATACAGATATAAATAGGAGGAAGGTTATCATAGAAATTGGCTCACGTGATGATGGAGGCCAAGAAGTTCCGTGACCTACCATCTGCAAGCTGGAGAAACTTGAAAGCCAGTGCTGTAATTCAGTCCAAGTTTGAAGGCCTGAGAACTGAAGGAGTGGGGAGCATCGGTATAACTCCTGGTCTAAAAACAAAAGCCAGAGAACTAGGAGCACAGATATCTGAGGGTAGGAGCAGATTTATGTCTCAGTCAAGTAAAGACAGAATTTATCTTTCCTTTGGCTTTTTGTTCTATTTGGGCCATGGTCAGCCATGTTGTTGAATTAAGTCTTTAGAAGGTCTGATCTTTGATTAGATGAGAATACGACAATTATGCAAAAACTAAATAGTAATGGGGATCTTCTAAATTTGAACTCAAACCATTCATTTTATTAATCTCTGAAGCAGATCTTAGATTCATTTATAATTTTCTCTGCAAATTAAATTTCTTCATTAGCTACTGGAAATTAATCCCCAAATAAGGTTGTCATAAATAGTCTAAAGTAAAAAATTATTACGTTAATCTTTTTTCAAATTTTTTGTTCCACCTTATTTCACAATTCTTCTATGTAAGCCAAAGAAATTCTGCAAGCTTGTGGAGCTGTGGCTTCTTGAGTAGCTATGGTCTTAGTATCTTACTGAAATGGGCTAGTTCCTAAATAAATTTTTGATCAATAACAAGGTGCCGATATTCTTCACTTTAAAAATCCATAGATATGAAATTCATTCCAGCACTGGCACATCTTCCATAAATTTGGAAAATGTCTGAATTTTGAGCACCAGTGCAGTTACAAGAGGCAAATTTTTCTTTTCAGACGCCCATACTGAGTGCTGCCAAAGACCATACAACAAATTCAATGGTATCTGAGGAAGGGGCAAAAAGGGAACATCTGGGTTTCAGCTTTGCCGAAGTACCAGTTATTTATGTAGGTGTCTAGAGTCCATGGTTTGTGAATATAGGATGGATTGGGAAAAATCTTACATAAAGAGGTTAATTATGCCACTAGGTTTAGGATATCTGGGGGGAAACTCCATTATGCAAATGTTCCTTCACTTAGAACAGCATTTGAGATATTTCTGCCTTCTGGCAAAGTTTAGAAATTTGCAATGGTGACAGTCTCAATCACCAAGTCTTATTTGACAAGCCTTTCTTTCTCATCCAGCGTATTCAAACTCTTAATTTACAATTCTCCTTGGAGCCCCACATTTTTGGCAGGACAACACTGCATGGCAGGACAACACTACATGGAGGTAGTCTCTGCTAGTGACATGGCCTTTACTATCTCTTGTGAGCAGTCCTCTCTATCCTGTGCCACATGGCAGCTTAAGCATATGAACCTCCTCTCTCAGGCAAGTTTCTCCCAACCCCACATTGGTTTCAGCTGGAAATTTATCCACTAGGGTTTTCTGAACTAAAACTGCTATTGATGCATCTGTCATGTGCTTCTTATCATGCTTTTTTGTTTTTTTGAATAATGCAGAAATTTGATAGCATTTCTTTCTGCTACATTCTTTTTTTTTTTTTTTACATTAGGGAATTTTCTATAGTGGCATATGTCTTTAGTATTTTTATTTCCCTTTTGGAAGGCTTAGTTGAAGTTATAATAGCTTAAACCATTTGTAGTTCAACTCTGTCCTTGCCTATCCAAGGTAGTTTTTGTTGGAATCTTTTCCATTTCCATTTCCATTTGCTTCCTGTCTCAGATATTGTTGTAACATATCCTTTAAGGTTTGAAATTGAGGGATCTCCCATAATTCAAATAAGGTTTCGTAGTCAGTGCCTTTTGTACCTACCAAAATCATCAATTCAAAAAATGTACTTACATTCATTGAATAATTCTGCCCAGAAGGTTTTTCCCATGGGGTATTTGCTTGATAAACTCTAGCCCTGTCTCCATCTATTTTTATCCTATCTAGCTCCTCTTTAACATATTTTATTATTTATCTTCTCTTAGAATTTTAATTCCATATATTCATAATTTTATATCCTTAGGACACTCAGGAAAGAATAGGATTCACATACACAAAAATGATGTCACCCTGAAATTCACCTAGTAATTCTTTAAATATTTTACACTGTCTTCCTGATCTAGTCCATTCAAAACTGCCCAAATTTTATGTAAACACTTGTGTAAGTGTGTTTGTTCATTTTGCATTCTCAAACTGTAGCTTTAGGAAGCATCTACTCACTTGTTTTCTGGACCCAAGGACTCTGCGAAAGTCATTCTAGTTTGCTGTCTGAGACCTGATTCTTTCTTGTCTTCTGTTAGATTTTGTAGGGCTTCAGACACTGTTTCTGACCTAGTAAGGACTAAAGCATAGTTTTTTTGTTTTGTTCTGTTGTTGGGTTTTTTTTCTTTTCTTTTCTTTCTTTTTCTTTTTTTTGTTTTTTTTTTTGAGACAGGGTCTCACTCTGTCGCCCAGGCTGGAGTGCAGTGTTGCGGTATCAGATCACTGCAACCTCTGCCTTCTGGGCTTAAGCAATCCTCCCATCTCAGCCTCCTTAGTAGCGGGAAACACAGATTCATGCTACCATGCCCTAATTTTTGTGTTTCTTTTTTTGCAGAGACAGGGTTTCGCCCTGTTGCCCAGGCTGGTCTCGCACTCCTGAGCTAAAGCAATCCACCCTCCTCAGCCTCCCACAGTGCTGGGATTACAGGCGTGAGCTTCCACACCTGGCCTGAAGTATCTTTTTAAACAACAAGGAGTATTTATTTTGTCTTTTCATATCAATCTATCCTGACTTTTATGATTTAATCTCTCCTGTTTTATTTGTACAGCCTGTGCTTTACAGTTCATGCTTCCACTTGAGGAAACTTCTTTCCACCTCCAGCTTAATCAACCTATCTTCCTTCATTTTTTTCCTATTTTCAACTGCTCCTTTGCTGATAAGAAGCATTTTTCAAAACACTTTAGCTTATCTTTGATTTTTCACAGCACTCCTAATTCCCAGGAACAATGTAGGCTCTATTAAGGCTGTATTTCCCAAACTTCAACCTAAGTAAAAATAACCCAAAGTTTTCATAATGTGCAACTTTTAATTCTTGGATCAGGGCATGAGAAATAGATCAGGATGTGTATACATCCTGAATAGTGCCAATGCTGCTGATTCATGGACAATACATTTAGTGGGAAGGGCTAGAAAAATCTTAGGATTTTCAGTGATTTCCATGAGTTGTGGAAATCACTGAAAATCCAATATGATAAGCTGGATCTTCAATCCAATAAGATAAGTTGTCCTTACAAAGGGCCTTTTGTGCTTGTGTAAGAAGAACTTATCATAAATACTTTTTGTAAATATTTATTATTAAAATATGTCTCCCGTTCTTTCATTGAAGTCATAATATTCATTCCAGAAAACTGATGTTATGTTTACAGGTCTTGAAATGAACAGAGTGAACTTGAACAAACTACATTAATTCAAGGATAGTCACTCCCAGAGTTTCATCTTTAGGCCTTGAAGGTCATTTTAAGAAAAAAATGTATCAACAGTTGTATCACCGCTGAATGAGAATAATGATGTAAAGTGAGAATTTCATTAGAGTTGTGGAGCACCAATAGTTTAGCTGCCTTTCAGATTAGCAGCATTGGTGGTTTTCCTCACCTAGAACTAAAGATTTTTAATGCTGCTCCACCCTCATTTGCAAATTAGGCCAGGAATTCTACATAGCAAAAGTCACCAGAAGCAAACTATCAATGTAAAGCCCTGTTATCTGTCTGAAGCTGCCAACACGGCCCCTTCTATACCATTCTTAGCTTTTGAGATCTCTAATCTTATTAAGACCTTTTGTAAAGACTTGCTCTGCTGAAACCTAGGGACCTTTTGTTGAACTGTAACTTCTCCATAAAATTTTTTAAAATATATTTTTCTATAAATATAGACATCAAAATGTCAATCAAAATAGCATATGATCTAAGACTTAATACCTCTTTCCTTAAGATCTGAGAATGCTTTGATATTTTACTCTATTTACGAGCTAACAAATTAACCATCCACAATTTCATAGATACTGGTAGAAAAAACAAGATTCCTAGGTTAGAGACAAAGGACTTTATCACTTATGGCACTGGCAATATGAGCTTTATGTTTACATTACTTCATCTCCCGCAGGAGGATGAGAAGTGGCCCAAATAGGCGCTGCACACGTAGTAAATTTGTGTCATGGTTGAGAAACCACAGCTTAAAACACTCTCAATCTTGTAAGAAGACTAGTAGCATGTGTGTCCTATCTTTGCCCAGAGGGAGACATTGTCTTTAGTCTCCTGGACAGCAAATAAATTTCCCCTGTCTCCTAGAGGGAGAAACTATCTTTATATTCCAAAACTATCCTTATATTGTGTTTTATACAAACATATTTGACAGATTATCTGTAATAAGTACTGTCAAAATTGTGAAGAAATGTAAGCCATCCATGGAAAATTGTCAGTCTACATTGCCCAGGTGTCTGCTACACAATTGTAAAAGCAGTCCTACAAAAGAGGCAATCACAAGCGATCAAATTCAAGAAATTGCTTGGGGTTTATCATTAAAAAACACCACTAGAGTTTAAATTCACTCACCTTTGTCATGTAAAACATTTCATTCTCTGTTTAAAATTTATTGTCCCAAATTCTATAACTTGTCTTTTTAAAAATATATTCTTGGCCCAAGCAAAAGATTTGAACGCTTGTTTGAATTTAACTTTCTATCCAAAATTGCAATATATCTGCCATCCCATCAGTCCTTTAAAACTGATGGCACAGAAAAATAGAAGAGAATTCTAAGTCCACAGACAGGCAGGCACTCCAGTGACGGAGAGAGAAAGGTGTTCACCTGCTGTGTGCAGTTTTTCCTCTCAAACTCATCAGCTGGCTTAGTTCAATTCCTTTTTCCTGAAGTTGAAGGATGTCTAGCGAGAAGAGAAAAAGGTTTAGAGGAATTTTTTTTTCTTGCGGCAATCAGGAGTAGAGAATGGCAGTAAATAGCAATTTATACAAAAATTAAAAATAACTAAATTTCTATAAAATATTTAATATCATATTCTAATGATTGATGAACAACACTACTTGCTTCTGACTGCCTGTGCAGTCAGCTGGTAGAAAAATGTACTTTCCCCTCAACATTACTAATATCTGGTATATCAAATAGTGATTTATACACAAAGTTGACTTCGATTATTTACAACTGCCAGCGTAAGAATTAACTATAAAGGTTAAATAATGACAACATTGACTTTTATATATTAAGAGGGTCAGCATCGGGGTAGTCTCAGAATTGGTTCAGCAATGAAATGGTTACTGGCTCTCTTACTATATTTAGGCAGACAGCTTCTGATAATTATTATTTGGCATGCTTAAAAATAATGTATTTCTGTTTTTAGCATTTTTTGAGGCACTTCTGCTATTATTTTTCTTGCTACTTAGTTGGAAACATTAATTTCCATGCAAACCTGTGAAAATTATTGAAAGCTATTTTTAATTAACACCTTAAATTTTAATTGACAAATTACAATTATATGTATATATTGTTGATGTACAACATGATGTTTATAAAAATGTAGACATTTTGGTGGAGTGGCTTAATTAAGCTAATTAACATATGTGTTGCCTCACTTATTTTCTTTTATGATGAGAACAGTTAAAATTTACTTTTAGTGATTTTCAGGTATGCAATACATTGTTTTTAACTATAGTCACCATGTTGTAAAACAGATCTCTTGAATTTATTCCGTAGTCTGATATTTTGTGTCCTTTGACCAATGTCCTTCCACTCCCATCCTACTGCCCACCCCAGCACCTGGTAACCACTATTCTACTCTCTGCTTTTATGGGTTCATCTTTTTTAGATTTGACATAAAAATGAGAGGATGTAGTAACTTTCTGCGTCTGGCTTATTTCACTTACCATAATGCCCTCTAGGTTCATCTGTGTTGTTGCAAATGACAGGATTTCTTTTTCCAAAGTGTGAATGGTATTCAATTATGTGTGTAAACCACATTTTCCTTATTCATTTGTCCACTGATGGACATTTAGGTTGATTTCTTATTTTAGCTATTGTGAATAATGCTACAATAAACATGGGAATGCAGATATACAAATTTTATTTCTTCTGTATAGATAAGCAGAAGTAGGATTACTAAATCATATAGTCATTCTGTATTTTGATTTTTTAAGACTCTCCATACTGTTTCCAAAATGGCTGTACTAATTTACATTCCACTCAGCAGTGTACAAAGTTTCCATTTTCTTGATATCCTTGCCAACATGTATCTTTCTCCTTTTAGATAATAGCCATTCTAACAGGTATGAGATGATATTTCATGGTGTTTTTAATTTGCATTTCCGTGATGATTAGTGATAGTTAACTTTTTTTTGTATATATGTTGATAATTTGTATGTCTTCTTTTGAGAAATTATTCAGGTCCTTTGCCCATTTTATAATTGGGTTATCTGTTTTCTTTCTGTTGAGCTTTTTGAATTCCTTATATATCTTAAATATTAACCCTGTGTTAGATATAAGGTTTGCATTTTTTTTCCCATTTCATAGGTTGCTTGTGTGAACAACTATTTTATGGCCTTGAATATATTGAATTTTAATAAAAATCTCATATGTATTTGAGAAAAATATGCATTGTTTGTTTCTTTGGTACAGATTTCTGTATTTTTACATAAATTAGTCATTTTAATTGTTTATATCTTATCTATTGCATAACTGATTCTAGGACTAATCATACTTTAGAAAGATCTGTTTATCTCTTCTAGGATGATGTAGATTCATTTCATTTATTTTCAGACCTACTTATTGGATGCATTAAGTTTAAAATTGTTTATTTTGGTGAGTTTCTTTTTTGTGTGTCTGATGTGAATATAACTGCCCCATGTTTCTTTGACTTTTCATTTGCCTGGCATTTTGTTTTTCCGCTCTTTCATACTCAGTCTTGTGTATTCTTACATTTATATTTTTCGTACAAATAGCAAATAGGTGTATTTTTAATCAAATTTGACAAATTCTATTAACTAGTAAATTCAATACATTTACGTTTGTTTTGATTATTGTAGTACATTGACTTATTTTGGCACAGAATTCTCCACTTTATATTTTTCACATTTTTTAAATCATTTTTGAATTAATTTTTTCTTTCTAATTTTTTTCTCTCCACTAGTTTAGAAACAATATATTTTACTATTTGTTTGTTGACTCTTTAAAATATTTTATGTATACTACCATGAAAAGTCCAAAATTGATCAATGTTGCTACTATTTATGTGAACAATTCTTTCTAACGCTTCCTAATCACTTCACACACTATTCACACTTCACACCACACTGTTGTCACTTATTGTAGCTCTATCTTGAATTGCTACTTTAAACCTATAGATTAGACATTATCATTTGATATACTATTACTTTAGATTTACTCACAATTATATCAATTTCTTCAATAATCATTCATTCTTGACTTTCTACTGAAATATATAACTGTAGAAATTCATGTTTTGTGCAAAAGTAGTGGCAGTTTACATATAATTTTTTGGTTTTTGAAAACTATATTTATTTTCTCCAATTTGAATAATAATTTAGGCAATTACAGCATTATGTCAGGAAGAAAGTTACTTTGTTTAAAAATCGAGAGTATTATTACATAGTCTTCTGTCTTTTTTCGTTGATGTTGTTTGAAACCTGTTGTGATGTTATTTGTATTTTTTTGTGGATGGTGTCTTCTCTCTTTGGTTTTCTTCGTGTTTGATGTTCTAAAGTGTCACCATAATATATCTAGCTCTGGATTTATTTTTATTAATTCTACTTAGAATAGTTTATGTTCATTTATTAGTAGTTTCCATTCTTTCAGCAGTTTTGGGAAAAAAAATTAACTATATTCATTTTGAGTATTTTTCTCCTACTTTTTTTTCCTCTGGGAATTCTTATTAGACCTATGGTAAGCCTCATTCCATCATATATGTTCTTTAATTTTTCATATTTTATATTTCATACATTCTGAATAATTTCTTATAATTTTTTAAATTAATTGTCTTTTCAGGTATATCTAAGTTACTATTCAAACAACCCATTAAATATATTTTATTTCATTTATTGTAATTTCACTTTTATAGTCCTTTTTGTTCTGTGTATGAGTGGTAATTTTGAGTAGACTCATTCATGGCTATTTCAAAAATTTTATTTCTACATGGTTACTTTGTATGCTATATATGATTATTCTAATACCTGAAAGTTTAAAGCAACTGCCTCAAGCAGTTGTTTATTTTTCATATTACTTTCATTGTCAAGGTTTATTATTTCTTTATTAATTTAGTGGGTTTGGGCTCTATTTTTCTAATTGGCTGAATTTATTCTGAGTAAATTTTGAGAGAATAAGAAATAAGAATGTTTTCTACAAGATGTTTTGTATTTGCTTCTGCCACACTCCAGAAATACACATAACTCAGTGTTCTTAAACTTAATATCTTGACATAAAGTTTATTTGACACAATAAGGAGGAGTGATCATAACTATAAGACCCAGCTTCATTTGAAGGTAGGACTACTGTTTCAAATATTTTGAGAAAATATTAATACTATTAATATATTTGTTTGTTTTAGCTATTTTAGTTATAAAAAACAGATAGCCTAACTATAGCATTTCTTTTGCCTTTAGTCTTCAGCCAGGCAAAAATTTCCAGAGCTCCCCTTTTGATGAAGGTGTAGATCCTGTAAACATAGCCATAGCCTATCAGAGATCTCTTGTTCAGCTTTGTTTGACCTCAAGTTTCATTCACAAGAGTATCAATTAATTCATAAAATTTGATTTCAAAGTATTGGCTTTGTGCCTCAAGGGAGAATAGAACGCTTTATAATTATTTCTACCTTTATAATTTCGGCTTAATGCTTTTTTTTTTTCTTTTTTTAGTCTTTTGTCTCTTTATTCTTTTGAGCCCAGAAAAACACACACACACATACACACGCACACAAATACACACACACATGCACACACACAATTTGTTTCATTTGATTGTTTCAAAAAGTATGAAGGGCTTTTCAAATACATTACAATTTTTCCTATGTTTATCAAATTATTCAAATTCCTCTCTCATGTAAAATACAGACACTCGTTTCAACAAATGCAAAAGTCTCCTTTCATCAGATGAGGCTCAAATTGGCATTCAGGTTTTGTTATCTATATCAGTTCCAGGTATAGGATAAATCTTTTTAGGTCTGAAGATCTGCAACATACCCAACTTACAATAGTGAAAAAATGATACTGCAAAATAAATCATTTCAGAAGGGAAGGAAAAACAGGCAAATAGAAGGCACAGGTTATAGCAATCTTTATACAGTTGGGTATACGTTGCCACTTCTTTTCCTAAGGTTCAGTTTTGTTACCTGGGAATGAGTGTCAGCAGTTCTTGTCTCTACCTCTGTGTTCTTGGTTTTGATAAACAGCATCTATGCAAAATACACAGGTAAAATTATAATTAATTGTGAAGACTGAATGATTTTTCCTTAATCTCAGGAATAAGACAAAGATGTCTGCATCTACCACTTCTATTTGACATTGTTCTGCAAGTTCTAGCCAGAGCAATTAAGCAAGAAAATGAAATAAAAGGCATCTATATCAGAAAGGAAGAGTTAAAAGTGTCTCTATTGTAGTTTATTTGATCTGGTATAAAGAAAAACCTTTTAAAATTAATAAGCGAGTTTAACAAGGTTGTAAGATACAAGGTAAATAAACACCAATTTATTATATTTCTATACAGTACCAATGAACAAACCAAAAATGAAATGAAAACCAAAAAAAAACTTCAATTTGTAGTGACATGAAAAATAATATAGTATTTAGGAAGAAATGTCACAAAAGAAGTGTAAAACATTACTTTAGACATTGTTGAAAGAAATTAGAAAGACCCAAAGAAAGACATCCTCATGTTCAGGGGTCAGAAGACTTAATATTGTGAAGATGACAATAGTCTCCAAATTGACCTGCAAAGTCAACAAAACCCCTATCAAAAATCCAGTGATTTATTTGCGGAAATTAACAAGTCTTTTCTAAAACATAAAAGGAAATTCAAGTGATCCAGAATAGCCAACGCAATCTTGAAAAGAAGAACAAGATTAAAAGGTTTGCATGTCTCAATTGCAAAACTAACTACAAAGCTATAGTAATCCATAAGAATACGAAGTCATATGGGTAAATGGGCTAGATTTGAAAGTCCAGAAATAAAACTTCACATTTACAGTCAATTGATTTTTGAATAGTGTGCCAAGAAAATTCAATGTAGGGGAAAATTTTTTTAACAAATGGTTCTGGAATAACTAGATATTAGTAAGAAAAATAACCAAGTTGGCCCCCTACCTCACACCATGTATTAAAATTAACTAGGAATGGATGTAAATGAATAATAAGATAAAAGACATACATGAAGAGCTAAAATTATAAAATATTTAGAAAATACAGGAGTGTATATCATCTTTGGTTTAGATATTTTTTCTTAGATATGACAAAATTTTTTTGTCATATTTCTAATTTGACATTTCATATTTGACATTTCTAATAAATTAGAAATTGTCATATCTAATTTTTTCTTAGATATGACAAAAAATACAAGCAACAAAAATAAATTGGGCATAGCATAATAGACTTATCAGAGGAGTCATCAAAAAAGTGAAAGAAAACCCACAACATGAGAGAAATTTTGCAAATTGCATATCTAATAAGAGATGTGTCTCTATACTCTATAAAAAGCTATTACAATTCAATAATGAAAAAGCAAATAACCGAATTTTAAAAATAAGCAAATAACGAAACCAATAGTTCGTTAATTTTTTCCAAAGAGGTTACACAAAGGGCCAGTAAGCACATGAAAGCACACACAACATTGTTAGTCATTAGGGGAATGCAAATCAATACTAGAATGAGATATCACCACTATAATGGCTAAAGTTGAAAACAAAACAAAACAGCATAATAATAAGTATTGAGAAGGGGGTGTAAAATTGTGCAGCCACTTTGGAAACCAGTTTGGCAGTTCCTCAAATGGTCAGAGTTACCATATGACCCAGCAATTCTACTCTGAGGTATATATCAAAGAGCGATCAAAGTATATGTTCACACGAAAGACTATACACAATTGTTCACAGCAGCATTATTGATAATAGCCAAGAAATGGAAATAATTCAAAAATGATAAATGGATAAAATGTGATACATCCATACAATGGAATCTTATTAGGCAATAAAAAAATACATGTTACAACAAGGACGAAGCTTGCAAAGATTATGTTAAATGAAAGAAGTAGTGACAAAGTACTCCACAGTGTACAGTTAATTACATTTTTTTTTTTTTTTTGAGATGGAGTCTCGCTCTGTTGCCCAGGCTGATCTTGGCTCACTGCAGACTCCACCTCCCAAGTAGCTGGGATTACAGACGCACGCCACCATGCCCAGCTAATTTTTGTATTTTTAGTAGAGATGAGGTTTCACCATGTTGGCCAGGCTGGTCTTGAACTCCTGACCTCAGGTGATCTGCCTACCTTGGCTTCCCAAAGTGCTGGGATTACATGTGTGAGCCACCATGTTTGGTCAACTAATTACATTTTTTTGAGATATTTTATACAGTTCTACAGAATAGGTAATTTTTTTCTATACGTTTCTCCAACCCACTAATTATCTCATTATTCTATTTTGAGTAGATTAGAATTTGTTAAAATATAATTTTTTTTTTTAATTTCACTGACTAGTGTTTTACATTTAGGAATTCTATTTGCCTTACCCGCCTGCCCTTAGAGGACTTTTGCTTTATGTTTTAAGGCTTTAATTACTCTATTTCTAAAAATGTAACTTTCTATATATCTTTAAGCTATAAACACACAAATATAATTTTTAGATTGCTGTATTATTTTCATTTTTTTCTGAATTGAATTTGTTTTCTGATTTGGTTTGCTGACCTTCTTAGTGACAACATTCTTTTTAACTTTCAGATTTTTTTAAAATCTAATCTAGAGTTGACTTTTTCTTTCTTTATCTGATTTTATCTCTTACTTGTCATTTTTGTTATCTGTTTTTTTTTTCTTCCACACCTCAGATCAGATCTGTCTCTTACACTGGAGACTCAGAAATCCTCTTCTGTGGTATCACACATACAGTCAGTCATCATGTATTTTAATTTAAATTCTGCATAAGAACAGATTTTACTTTATTCTGAATTCCTGAATTCTCAAGTTTATAAGCTTCACTTGAAAGATTGACCATGTTGTGTCCTTTGATTCATTTTGTTTAGTTTGTCAGCATCTAACCATGACTCTTCTTCATTACAATTGTTTCTAGATCTCTGACACTCACTGAAAGCTTTGACATTCTGCCTTCTTTTTTAACTTAAGGTATGAACTCCTGGGCACTTCTGCCCATTTCTGGGTCTGGCACTCTATATGTCTACTGTGTTAGCTCTGTCTTGTTTATGGCATGCATTACATTGTATATGCATATTATTCATCATTTTTCCTCTGATAATTTGTCTCTTATAGCTGTGTGTTTGGAACAATTGAGGTCATGGGAGAGGGAGGAATTCAAACATTAATTATATAGCACATTCTTGAATAGAAGTATACTATGTCACAATGTATTTTTCAAAAGCAAAAGAATGAGGCCCACCTCAAATATATTGTATTCAGAAGGAATTTAACAGAGTGGTAAGCATATAAAGAAGGATCATTAATTTGTAGAGTGGTTTGATTACTATTTGGCATTTTCCAGCGGCAATTACTGAAATGGATAATTCAACTGAAATTCACTTAAACCATAAGCAAATGTATTTACTCACATAAAAGAATGCTTAGAAGTAATTTGGGTTTCAGGATTGGTTGGATGGGTCACTCACTCAGGTCATTAAGGATCCACCTTTTTTTATTGCAACTCTGCTTATTTTTGTCCTTTCTGTCTGCTTCATTCTAAGCCTCATTCTCCTCATGATCAATGAACAGCCTTTAATATAAGCAATTTGGGCTACATATTCTCAACATATACCTTTTTATATCGTACTGTTGACAGTTTGGTCACAGTAGTTCCTTAAACCAACCACAGGAGATGAGATTACCAGAATCATTCCTACTGAGACTAATTCAGTAAACTGGTACTTGATTTGGGAGGAAGAGAATAAATACTGGACAGTCCACCACAATGTGCTCTCAAATTTGAATTTATTTTTTATTAAATATGACTGAGAAAACATCTGGCAGAAATTAAAGCTGATGAATGCTTACTTTGGAAGAAAGCTGAGACCAATTTCCATTTAAGTAAGGAAATTTCCAGATCTAAGATTATGTGATTATATACTACTTTTTGTTGTTGTTTAGTTGAAACCTAATTTTTTGTGTAGGTGAGTAGAGAAATATAATAACTACTAACGCAAATACTTATCATTAGTTAGCTGTCTATGGCTCTTAGAGTCTTTTCCTTAGCATATATAAACTTTAATGTAAAAATTTTTCTTATCACAAACATGATTCATTGTGTTTATAATAACATTTTTATCTCAATATTTCAGTAAGCCACTGATAGCTTCTTAATCAGAAATAATTATATGACAATTTTTTTGATGCTCAAAGCTTAGGTATTTGTAACCATTATTTTATTTCAGTATTCATAGTGCGATGGCTAAAGCCTTATGAAATAACATGTAAACTTGCATGTTTTTGCAGTGACTGATACTTTGTGCCCACAATTATTAATTGCGTTAAGTTGAGCAAAAATACATGATAAATAAATTCACATGTAAGTCGGATTGAATTTTTTTTCTCTACAAGGCTATTCACACTATTTCAATTAATATGCAAGGCCCAGACTTTCATAGAAAATAACTAAGCTTGCCCTTATCCAAAATAGCAAAAGGAAAAGACAAAAATATAAAGAATACCAGCAGATGAAAATAAACGACCATGACCAACTCTCATCTAATATTTTTAAACTAATCTTTTGTTGTAAAACTTTTCTGAAGGAAAATGATACCGTTATAATCTTTTATTAGAAGTATAATGATCTAGATTTCTCCTCTTTTTCAAAATCAAGTTCAACAGCTCACTAAATCCTCATCTTTACAGAAGGTATATTCTGTAAAAGAGCAAAATTGCTTATAATACTTTCAAGAATCGTATACTTCATGGTTGAGATTTTCTTTGTTTCTTTTTCTTTTTTTTTTTTTTTTTTTTGAGACGGAGTCTTCCTGTGTCACACAGGCTGGAGTGCAGTGGTGCGATGTCGGCTCACTGCAAGCTCCGCCTCCTGGGTTCACGCCATTCTCCTGCCTCAGCCTCCCAAATAGCTGGCACTACAGGCGCATGCTGCCACTCCCGGCTAATTTTTTTTGTATTTTTAGTAGAGTCAGTGTTAGCCAGGATGGTCTCGATCTCCTGACCTCATGATCCACCCGCCTCGGCTTCCCAAAGTGCTGGGATTACAAACGTGAGCCACCGCGCCCGGCCAATCGTTGAGATTTTCAAGAAGACCAGCTTTTAATTTGTTAACTAGAATGATGAAGTTCAGAGTTACCTGTAATGATACTCACTGTATCAACTGTTAACTGTCTTTTTGTTCCATGTGCAAAAATTCTGGTTACATCTGGGATTTGGGCCAGGCCCCGTGGCCCATGCCTGTAATCCCAATCCTTTGAGAAGCCAAAGCTGGCAGATGACTTGAGCCCAGGAATTTGAGACCAGCCTGGGCAATATGATGAAACCCTATCTCCACAAAAAATACAAAAATTAGCCAGGCATGCTGGTTCATGCCTGTAGTCCCAGCTACTTAGGAGGCTGAAGTGGGAGGATCACTTAAGCCTGGGAGATGGAGGCTGCAGTGAACCGTCATTGTGCCACTGTACTCCAGCCTGGGTGACAGAGTGAGACCCTGTCTCAAAAAACAAAACAAAACAAAACCCAGTTGGGATTTGTCTAGTTATACCCCCCAAAATACTGCTCTGGTGAAGCTCACTATTGCTAGCCTTTAATTCAATCATTGCTTATTTAAGAAAGCCTAGCTGCTTTAACTCCCAAAGATGATTATCATACATTTAAAAATAAGCAGAGGAGGGAAGATCAATATAAATATAGATATTTTATTTAATAATGCAGGATAATTTTCTTATTATAACTTAATACTGATTTGTTGTAAATATGTAAGGTGTCATTTGGCCTTTGATGATGATCCCAGTAATTAATATCCAAGTAATTTAATATTGAGTTTGAAACATTGAAAGTTCTCTGACTGAATCAAGTATAAATAATATTAACATTATGCATATCCCAGCTCTATGAGTTTCTATGGAAAATAAATTCAATGTGATTATTCCACCTGATGTTCAGAAAATTATTACTGCCAAGTTTTTTCTTTCTGTATATCATTTTATTTCTGGATCAAACATAACATAATCATATAAGGTGTTTTTTTCCTGATCAAATAAAAGTACTTTATTTATAAATAGGTAGTTTTATTTGAGAAGTACCAAGTTGATTGTTTTCTGTATATGTTTTTTAGTTACATATCTTATGATGCAAATTCCAAAGAAAACCTATTTCTGAATTTAGAATAAAGCCAAATTCTCTCACAAGGTGAATTAGACCTAAGAAAAATTGTTTTCCTCTCTAACCAGACCCACAAACCCTGTGAATAATATGTTTTTGCCATCTGAGAGCTATTACAAATGCTATTCTTTATTCATGAAATACATTTATTCCACAGGCCTCATTTCTTCTACCGTCTTAACTAAAGTGTATTTCACTTGGCTTATAAAATCATTTTAGGTATGCTGTTTTCCAGGAGATCTTCCTGAGACATTTCATAAGCATAGTATCACACACTTATGTCAAAAAGGAACCTGTGTCTCCTTCCTTCCTCAGCTTCAGAGTTGTTCTCTTCTGATCTAGTTAATAGCAATAAATATCACCTCAAATCAGAGTAAGGAGGATGGAGACACCATCTACCATTACCCTGCCCATTATCTCCAAAATATATATCAGATTCACTTTATTCTTCCCATTTTACTGACAACATCTATGTCCAACACTATTTGGGATTCTGGAAAAGCTTTATAAAAAATCTACTTTCCTCTTTGTTATGGATTGAATTGTGTCCCCTCAAAATTTATATGTTAAACCCCTATCATCTAGTGTGACTTAATTTGTAAGTAGAGCCTTTGTGGAGGTAATTCAGATTAAATGAGGTCATGAACATGGAGCCCAGTAGGACTGGTATACTTATAAGAAGAGGAAGAGACACAGGGAGAGTGCTTTCACAGAACAAAAGGCCATGTGAGGACATCACAAGAAGACAGCCATCTGCAAGCCAAGGAGAAAGGCCTCCAGAGTAATCATGCCTGATGGTACCTTAATCTTGAAGAGGTATGTGCGTTTTCACATGCCCGCATATTTCCCCTATTAGACACAATGATCTCTTTATCTCTGTGACATATGATGTATGCTGGGAAGAGTTCTGAATTACTGTCTCTCACTTAATGGTATCTAGGTTGGAATCAGTGCAGGATGAAAATTTCCAGTGTCATGGAAAAATCGTTGAATAAGTGTCTCCCTGGCATCTGACTATCGCTTTTCTTTTTGAACTGTTATAGGGACTGATAATGTAGACAATGAGGTTTACTCCCACTATCACTGTAGCCAAAATGATTTTCATTCCAGAAATACTGGATTTCACAATGTCGTTACAGAAGACAATCTCATCTCAGTGTAACCGTGGCAGTCCATCAGTGGTCCTTTCAATATTTACTTTTCCCTCTCATTGATATAATTGTATTTTGGCAACATTTTTAACACTATAGAGCAGACGTCTGAAGAATATATCTGGAATTGTTAAAGGCCATGTCGATGAATTTCTGATATTCTTAAGAGTTGAGAGTCTCTTTGAATGCAGGAATGATGTTCCAGATAGCACAAAATTCAAGTCAGTTTGCCAGAATGGCCATCTGTTTTCTTTTGAATGAAATTTGTACATAGACTATGGCCATAATCCTAAGAAACTGACTGGAATTTTTTTTCCCAAAGGATACGAGTAATTGTTGGTTTGGAAAATGGCTGGCATTCTTGAAAGAGATGATACAATTTCATGATTCACTCCCATCACAAATACAGAAACATCAGTAAGTAAATTGAGAACAGATAAGGATGCTTTTATTCCATTCTATGAGTGAGCCTCAACTTTCTAAGGTTAAAGTCATCAAGGGACTCCACAACATATTTAGCACTGCCCCACCCCATTTAAGACTGGTGGGATTTCACTCCTGGAAAATAGGGGTGAGCCTCTCACTGATCACCTGCTTCTTATTCTCAGTCAGGGTGGTGCATATACCGTGAGAAGTAAGTGTTCATGTGAAAACACACACCCACCCCTTCAAGATTAAGGTGCCATCAGGGTTGCTTTCTCCCAAGGTCTTTATCCTTGGTTTGTGGATGGCCGTCTTCTTGTGCTGTCCTCACATGGAGATTTTTTCAGTGTATATATTTTCCCTGTGTCTCTTCCTCTTCTTACAAGGATGCTAATCCTATTGGGCTCCACCCCATAACCTCGTTCAACCTGAATTACCTCCACAAAGTCCCTATTTCCAAATTCAGCCACACTGATGTTGGGGGTTCAACATACAAATTTCGAGGAGTCACAATTCAATCCCTAACAAGGAAGAAAGGCGATTAATCACAAAATGAGAATAATTATATCTGAATACGTAAATCACGTAGTTGAGGACACTGAAGGAAATGGTGGTGGTCAGAAGAGCCTCTGGACTGGTATTAAAAGTAGTGCTGGTGACCAGATTCCTCAGACTGCCAAATCTTTTTACTCTGATCTTACTCATTGTTCCTGAAGAATGAGGCTACAGCTGGCACTGTAGGAGAAGATCTGTTTAATGAGTTGTCAAGGGACTGTCTGCTTACTTACCAGGCTTCCTTCCTCATTAGAGACATTTCATGAGCTAAGATACCAGGCCTTTTATAGAAGAAGTAATTGTTAACATGACGGTTCAAATTTAAATTTTAATATAGAAATTCTTTTACTTTTATTGAAACAATTCAATACTTATCACCTTATAACAACTAAAAACTATGTAATTTTTATTTCCTAGTGATTTTGAAAGCAAATACCATATATCACAAATATGCTTTGATGATATTAATATCACATGGTTAAGAAACAACAGAGAAACATACTTTCTTAAATTTTGCAATAAACTGAAAGATGTAAGTTTGTCTTTGGATTGTCTGGTATCATTTTAAGGCAAAAAGATTTCCAAATTCAAATGTTAGGCTTATAGGATTGTATAACATTATTACAGTGCAATCATGAGATTAAAATGCTGCATGAAAAGACGCAGTGTTAGGCACAGAGGATAGCTTGCTGAGGTGGGATAAATCCTTTCCCATTTAATGTGGTTGCCTTCCCTTGCTAATGAATTTGGTATGTAAAGTGCGCTGAAACTAGTGATCGGCAGGAATGTTAAATGATCCTGTAGGAGTTAAATTGCATTCTGCAAAGAAAAGTGATAGGTTACTGCAATTAACTTTGGACTTGTTTTGTATTTAAGAATAGAATAATTAGAAGAGAACTTTATTGGAAATGGAAGTAGTGTTTCACAATTCATTTTTAAAAAAGACATTTAATAAAATGTAGTCAAGTTGGCAGCCTCTTTATGGAAAAAAAATAGCCAGTAATATTGCAGGACATAATGGTTCACTAATGTACACACATAATCTAAAAGCTTTCAGTTTTAAGGATGAATAAAACAATACCTCACTCATTTAGCTTAGTAAAAAAATTAATTGTACTGTATACGGTTAGCTTATTATCACTGACTGGAACTCAATCTCTGCATGTCTATTTATGCCAGCAAAAGCCATTATAAAAAGAGGGATATGATTACGTGGTAAAGATAAACTTTAGGAAATGATTTCAAAGGGGTCTATGAAACACATGCTGTTCTAGCAAGATTCTATTACTAAAATAAGGTCTAATAGAATGTATCAAATTAGAATGCTTCTAAAATTTTAAAATACTTGAGTGTTTTCTTCATTTACATTACAGCAAATAAATAATGATAAGGATTATTTTGAGGTAAATAATGAATAAATTTGCTTAGGGCAATGAAGTGCCCATCAGTTACTTCTTTTACTATGAACATATACACGATGAAAAATCTTACTTTATTCCTTTGCAGATTGGATACTGTATATGTATTTATATGACCACATAACTGAAAATATTAAGAGGAAAATCTTCCTTCTTGGCACGCTTTCTGAGAGTTTATTAAGTAATTCACTCACTTTTCAGCTAATTTATATTTTCGTAGTCTCATATGCATTACTCTTCACCTAAATGTCTATCCTGATTTCTTTATCCTTTGCATCATTACATAAGTCAAGGCCACCACATCTTGTTTTACTAAGACTGCCTCAAACCTCATCTTCCTGACTCCTAATTCATAAACTGTGATTGCACTGTCCACAAGAATGCAAAGCTGAGGGTATGCAGCTCTTGTGAAGGGTTTCCATTGCTTCACCATTGCCCCAGGATCAAATCCAAGTGCTTTAGCATGGCTGATTTTGACGTGGTCCCTGATTACCCCTGTAGTCTGGCCTCACAGCTCTTCTCTCTTGGAATATAACACTCAGACATTTAGAGCTTCTTGTGTTTTCCCAATGCACCTTGGCCCTGATCCACAGTATTTGAAGGCATTCTTCCTCTGGCTAGAATTGTCCGCTAACTCTTCTCTAGACTCTCTCCTGTTTAAACTTTAGGTATCAATTTGGACGAGTTTTTGTTGTTGTTGTTGTTGTTGTTGTTGTTTTTCCTGTAGGGAAGTATCTCAGCCATAAAGCCTTGGTGAGATGCTCTGTTTATGTTCTCCTACATCATAGATATATGTCTGTTACTTGTCTCAGTCCTCCACACGACTGTCAATTTCTTGAAATCAAAAATTATTCCTGATTTCCTTTCCTATCCCTACCACTCAGAATAATGCCTGGAACATATAAGATATTCAGTGGATATTTTTGGATTAATGTGCTCTTAAGGCCTTTAATAGGTTAAGTTATATGTGTACACATTGCTATTTTGATTTACACTTCACTATTAGTATTTAACTATAAATTTTATAAAATCTATAGATGTTTAAAATGTGCTTAATCAGATTTTGACATAGTACATGAAAAATGACATATTGAGAAATTCTCATTTGTAGTTTTTTTTTTCCCACATATTCCCATCTGTTCATCTCAGGAAATCTAAATTGATTATTTGGCTTTAAAATCAAATGATAATAATGCAAGCAACAGCACCCAACTTCCCAAGTGATTTTAAAATATCACCCCTGAAAATTTCAGGAAATAGCAAAGACAGAAAAGCAGGAATCTACATTTTTTCTGTTATCAGTTTAAGCTTCTTATGAAAATAGAAAAGTAGAGAAAAAGAGTTGGAAAAAATTAATTGACTTAAGAAAGCATTAATCTATTGAACTTCTTTAAATCCAGAAAAGGAGAGAGCTGAACACACTTAAATAATCTGCTTCACGTGGCATCCATGCTATTTTAATACACAATTTGGTAAATTAATGAGCTCTTTGCAGTTAGGTTGAAAAATTGATGATGACCCAAGTTAATACTAAGATCTGAAAAGAAAAAAAATCCTGTAATATTTTCTTAAAGTAAGCATAGTGAAGCATATTTTCCTTGTCACAAGTAAGATAAAATTTTTATTATAAGAACCCACATTTAAGTAGTACTTTGCCATCTACAGAGTATGCATTCATATCCATTATCAAAAAGGACAGACAGGAAAGCTGTAAATATTCGTGCATAGAGTAATTCAATTTAACATAAAGCAAAACTAATTTTTGATATAAAACAAAATGTGAAATTATACATTAATGATCGTTTAATGCACAAATAGTTTTAATGGGATCCATCACTTTTTTTTACCTTCACTTTGTGTTATAAAATGAATTTACGTACTGGATCACTATATCATGAAGTATTTTTATAATATTAGTATATAGTTTCAAATGCAGAAGAAACATATCCATCCAGAATATTTTCTACCACTAATGTGACTTTTGCATGCCTGGTGAAAATTTTAGACAGCTTAAACATAAATGAATCACTACAAATAGACACATTTTAAGATGTCATGAAGTTTGATATTTATAAAAAATGTTAATGCACATAAATAAATTGAAATTAACATGAAACCAATAAAGTCAGTGTCTTTAGTCTCCTTAGCTAGCAAAACAATTAAATATCAAGGTTCATTATGAGAAACACTGAGTTGATTCACATTGGCTGAACTGAAAAATTAGATAAAAGGATTAAAACTCTGTTGAAAGATTCTAAACCATGTGTCATGATAGACACAGATGAGATATTTACTTAGAGAATTTTACTGTTGCTCATCTTAAAGAAGTATTTAGCATTTTATTAATAAGTTGAAATTCCTGGAAAAGCATTTGCTGAATCTAATTCTCTAATATCCATAAATGCAATTAACTGAAACATTTGATTTACAAATTTAGTGACATAATTTGAAGGAACTCATATTAGATGTCATAAAATATGGTAAACACTATTACTTTTTAATATTTTTAAAGTATTCTTATTTTATTAATAATAAAATATTCAATTTATTATAAAATATAAGTATATATTAAATATATAGTATTTTTTAAAATTAAGATAATGAATTACCTTTTATTTTACTTTTTTTCACTTCTATTTCTAATCTATAAGTTAGTGTTCACAAGTCTATTTTTTTCCAATTATCTGCAATAAATTCTTTTCTATTTCCAAAACTTCTACTTTAAAACAATTCTTACTTTAAAATTGGCTACCCTTTTTTCTTAACAATAATTTTACATCTGTTCTCAATCTCACCCTGTTTCTCTATATTCCATGCAGAGCACCCATTTTTCTCAATAGCAAATGTAAGTCATTTATTCTTTTTCATAAATAACAGATTGCATTAGTTCCTTGATTGACCTTCCTATTTGCTTTATTATGTATTTTTGTGGGTACATAGTAGGTGTTATTTTGATACTATGCATAATAATTACATCATGTTAAATGGGGCATCCATCCCCTCAAGCATTTATCCTTTCTGTCTGTTACAAACAATCCAAATTGTATTCCTTTAGTTATGCTAAAATGTGCAATAAATTATTGTTGACTATAATCAACAATATTTTGATTGTTGTGCTATCAAATACTAGATCTTATACATTCTACCTAACTATACTTTTGTACTTATTAACCATTCATACTTTCACCCACCACTACCTTTCCCAGCCTCTGGTAAACATTATTATTCTTTCTATCGCCATTTGTTCAATTGTTTTAATTTTAAACACCCACAAATAAGTAAGAATATGAAAAGTAAGTTTTTCTGGGTTGAGATGATATCGCATTGTAGTTTTGATTTGCATTTCTCTTATTATCAATGATCGTGATCACTTTTATATACTGTTGGCACTTGAATGCCTTCTTTTGAAAAATCTACTCAAATATTTTATGTATTTTTAATCAAATTATTATATTTTTTCCTATAAAGTTGTTTAAGCTCCTTATATAGTATTATGAATCATTTCTAAGATGAGTAGTTTACAAATATTTTCTCCCATTCTGTGGTTTGTTTCTTCAGTTTGTTAATCGTTTGTTATGCAAAAGTTTTTTAACTTGATGTGATCTCATGTGTCCATTTTTGCTTTGGTTGCCTGTGCTTGTGGGATATTGCTTAAAAAATCTTTAGTAGATCAATGTCCTGGAGAGTTTCCCCAGTGTTTTCTTTTAGTAGTTTCATAGTCTGAGGTCTTAGATTTAAATATTTAATCCATTTTATTTGATTTTTGTATATGGTAAGAGATGGAGATCTAGTTTCATTCTTCTACATATGGATAACCAGTTTTCACAGTACCAAGAGAATGTCCTTTCCCAAGTGTACTTTCTTCGTACATTTTTCAAAAATGAGGTCACTGTAGATGTATGGATTTATTTCATGATTCTCTATTCTGCTCCATTGGTCTATGTTTCTGTTTTTATGCCAGTACCATGCTGGTTGGTTACAATAGCTCTGTAGTATAATTTGAAGTCAGGTAATGTGATTCCTCTAGTTTTGTTCTTTTTCTTCAGAATAGCTTTGGCAATTCTGGGTCTTTGGGCGTTGTATATAAATTTTAAGATTACTTTTTTTTATTCTGTTAGAATGTCATTGGTATTTTGATAGGAATTTCATTGAATGTGTATAGGGATTTCATGTGAATGCTTTGGGTAGTATGAAAATTTTAACAATATTGATTCTTCCAATCTATGAATATGGCATACTTTTCCAGTTTGTTCTGTGTACTTCAGTTTCTTGCATTAGTGTTTTATAGTTTTCATTACAGATATCTTCCACTATTTTGGTTAAGTTTATTCCTAAGAATTTTATTTTATTTGTAGCTATTGTAAATAGGATTGCTTTCCTGATTTCTTTTCAGATTGTTCACTATTCACATATGGAGATGTCACTGTTTTTTGTATGTTGATTTTGTATCCTTCACCTTTACTCAATTTATCAGTTTTAATAATTTTTTTTGTGGAGTCTTTAGGTTTTTCCAAATATAAGATCATATCATCTGAAAACAAGGATAATTTGACTTTTCCTTTCCAATTTGGATGCTCTTTATTTCTTTCTCTTGACTAATTGCCCTAGCTAAAACTTCCAGTACTGTGTTGAATAACAGCAGCAAAAGTGTGTTTTCATGTATTGTTCCAGATCTTAGAGAAAACACTTTCAGTGTTCTTTTTTTTTCCATTCAGTATGTTACTAACTGCAGGTCTGTCACAGATAGCTTTTACTGTGTTGAGGTATGTTCATTTTATACCCATTTTTTTTGAAAGATGTTATGATAAAGGAATGTTGAATTTTATAAAATGGTTTCTTAGCATCAGTTGAAATGATCATAAGTTTTTTGTCTTTCATTCTGTTGATATGATGTATCACGTTGATTGGTTTGAAAATGTCAAACAACCCTAGCATCCCTAGGATAAATCTCACTTGGTCATAACGGATAATCTTTCTAAAGTATTGTTGAAGTTGGTTTACTAGTATTCCATTGAGGATTTTTCCATCAATATTCATCAGAGATATTGACCTATAGTTTCCTTTTTTTTTTTGATGTGTCTTTGTCTAGTTTTACTATCAGGATAATACCATCCTCATAGAATAAGTTTGGAAGTATTCATTTCTCCTCTATTTTTCGAAGTACTTTGAGGAGGACTGGTATTAGTTCTTCTTTAAATGTTTGGTAAAATTTAGCAGTGAAGACATCAGGTCCTGGGCTTTTATTTATTTATTTAGTTTTTGCTGAGAGACTTTATTACAAATTGAACCGTGAAGAAATCCAAAACCTGAACAGACCAACACAACTAATGAGATTTAGTAAACATTCATTATTATACTTACAAGTAATAAGTTAGTTTCATTTCTTGTGTTGGTCTGTTCAGGTTTGGATTTTTTCATGGTGCAAACCTGGTAGGTTTTATGTGACAAGGAATTTATTCCTTTCTTCTAGGTTTTCCAATGTATAGGTATATAGGTGCTCACAGTAACCTCTAATGATCTTTGGAATTTCTGCAGTATTAGTTGTAATGTCTCCTCTTTCATCTCTGATTTTCTTTGTGTCTTCTCTCTCTCTCTCTCTCTTTTTTTTTTTTTTTTTTTTTTTTTTGAGAGGGAGTCTTGCTCTGTCGCCCAGGCTGGAGTGCAGTGGTGCTATCTCTGCTCACTGCAAGCTCCACCTTCCAGGTTCACGTCATTCTTCTGCCTCAGTCTCCCGAGTAGCTGGGACTACAGGCACCCGGCACTGCGCCAAGCTAATTTTTTGTATTTTTAGTAGAGACGGGGTTTCACCGTGGTCTGGATCTCCTGACCTCTTGATCCGCCCGCCTCGGCCTCCCAAAATGCTGGGATTACAGGCATGAGCCACCACACCCGGCCCCTCTCTTTTTTTCTTAATCAGGCTAAAGTTGGTCAATTTGTTTTTTCTTTTCAAAAAAAAAGCAACTATTTATTTCATTGATCTTTTGTATGTTTTTCCATTTTCATTTCATTTATTTCTGCTCTAATATTTATTATTTCTTTTCTTTTACTAAATTGGGATTCGGTTTCTTCTTACTTTTCTAATTCCTTAAGATATATTGTTAGGTTGTTTATTTAAAGTTTTTCTACTTTTTTGATGTAGATGCTTATTGCTATAAACTTTCCTTTTACTACTATTTTCACTATATTCCATAGGTTTTTGGTATGTCATGTTTCCATTTTCATTTGTATCAAGAAAAATTTTAATTTCCTACTTAATTTCTTCATGAGCCATTCATCATCCAGGAGCATATTATTTAAATTTCCATATGTTTATATACTTTCCAAAATTTATCTTGTTATTGATTTCTAGTTTTATTTTATTGTGGTAAGAGTAGATATTTCATGTAATTTCTTCTTTTTGAATTTGTAAAGACTTTGAATATTTAAAGACTTTATAGCCCAACACATGGTCTATCCTTGAGAATGACCCAAGTGCTGAGGAGAATTTATTTTCTGCAGCTACTAGATAAATTGTACTGTAAACATTTACTATGTGCATTTGGTTTATAATGCAGATTAAGTCTGATCTTTTTTAGTTGATTTTCTGTCTGTAAGATCTGTCTGGTGCTCAAAGTTGGGTGTTGGAGTCCCCAGCTATTATTGCATTAGGGTCTATTTCTCTCTTTAGCTCTAATAATATTCGCTTTATATATCTGGATGCTCCAGTACTGGGTGCATACTTCTAATTGTTATATCTTCTTGCTGAATTGACATCTTATCATCATATAGTGATTTTCTTTGTCTCATTAATAGTTTCTTTCTTGAAATCTATTTTGTTTGATATAACTGTAGCTATTCCTGATCTGTTTAAAAATTTAAGTTAATTCCATTTAATTTTGAGACAGGGTCTCACTCTGTCACTGAGGCTGGAGTGCAGTGGCACAATTATAGCTCACTGCAGTTTCAAACTCCTGGGCTCAAGTGACCCTCCCACCTAATCCTCCTGAGTAGCTCTGACCACAGATGTCCATGAATTTGCCCAGCTAAATTTTCAAAATTATTTTTTGTAGAGAAGAAGTCTTCTCAGCTTCCCAGGATGGTCTCAACTCCTGGGGTCAAGCGATGCACTTGCCTCAGACTCCCAAAGGGCTGGAATTAAAGGCATGAGCCACAGCTTCTAGCCCAAATTCCTGCTCTTTCTTTAGGTTTCTATTTGCATAGAATATATTTTTCTTTACCTTTATTTTTATTCTATGTGTGTCTTTATAGATGAAATGTACTTCTTTTGGGTAATAGGTCATTTGGTCTTCTTTTTTTATCCATTCAACCACCCTATGTCTTTTAATTGGAGGGTTTAGTCCAATTAAAATGATATTATTAAGTACAAACTTACTCTTGCCATTTTATTTATTTTCAGTTGTTTTGTGGTCTTCATATTTTTTTTTTTGTTTTGTTTTCTTCCTTCCTGGCTTCCTTTTAGCAAAGGTGGTTTTCTCTGATCTTCTATTTGGTATTCTTACTTTTTGTTTTTTATATCTATTGTGTTTTTTAATTTAACGTTATCATGAGCCATGCTAATAATATCTTATAACTTGTATTTTAAATAAATGATGACACTGCATAAACAAACTGAGAAAACTAATATAAACTGTAAACTTCATCCTCCTAATTTTAATTTGTTTTGTTTTTATTCACACATTATTATACCACCTGTGTCTTGAAAAGTTTTTGCAGTTATTATTTGATAGGTTCATATTTTAATCTTTCTTTTCCGGACATGAATAGTTCACACACCACAATTATAGTGTCATAATATTCTGTGTTTCTCTTTGTGCTTACTACTACCAGTGAGTTTTGTACCTTCAGATTATTTCTTATTGCTCATGAGCATTCTTTTATTTCAGACCGAAGAATTCCCTTTAGCATTTCTTACAGGGTGATTCTGGTGTTGATAAAATCCCTCAGGTTTTGTGTGTCTGGGAACTTATTTGTCCCTCACATTCAAAGGATGTTTTAACTGGATATATTATTCTAGAATAAACTACTTTTTCCTTTAGCACTTTAAGTATGTCATGCCCCTCCCTCCTGGCCTGTAAGATTTGCACTGAGAAGTCTACTCTCAGATTTATTACAGCTCCTTTGTATGTTATTTGTTTCTTTTCTCTTTCTGCTATTAGAATCCTTTCTTTATCATTGACTTTTGAGAGTCTCACTAATAAATGTCTTGACATATTCTTGTTTGGGTTAAATCTGTTTGGTGTTCTGTAACCTTCTTATACTTGAGTATTGATCTCTTTCTTTTCGGGAAATTCTCTGTTAAAATCCCTTTCTTTAAAAAAAAACTTTTATTTTAGATTCAGGGGTACATGTGCTGGTTTGTTATACAGGCAAACTCATATCACAAGGGTTGTACAGATTATTTCATCACCCAAGTACTAAGCCTAGTACACAATAGTTATTTTTTCTGATCCTCTCCCTTCTCCCACCCTCCAGTCTCAAGTAGGCCCCAATGTCTGTTGTTTCCCTCTTCATGTCTGTGTGTCCTCATCATTGAGCGCTTACTTATAAGTGAGAACATGCAGTATTTGATTTTCTGTTTCTGCATTAGTTTGTTAAGGATAATGGTCTTCAGATCCATTCATGTTCCTGCAAAAGACATGATCTCATTCTTTTTATGGCTGCATAGTATTCCATGGTGTCTATATACCACATTTTGTTTCTCCAGTCTAACACTGATGGGCGTTTCGATTGATTTTACATGTTTGCTATTGTGAATAGCGCTGCAGTGAACATATGTGTGCATGTGTATCTTTATGTTAGATCGATTGCGTTCCTTTGAGGATATACCCAGTAATGGGACTGTTGGGTTGAATGACAGTTCCTGTTTTTAGTTCTTTGAGGAATTGCCACAGTGCTTTTCACAATGGTTGAACTAATTTAGACTCTCACCAACAGTGTATAAGTGTTTCCTTTACTCCATCACTTTGTCAGAATCTGTTATTTTTTGACTTTTTAATAATAGCCACTCTGACTTGTGTAAAATGGTATCTTATCATGGTTTTGATTTGCACTTCTCTAATGATTAGTGATATAGAGTTTTTTTTCATATGCTTTTTGGTGGTGTATATGTCTTCTTTCAAAAAGTGTCTGTTTGTGCCCTTTACCCATTGTTTAAATGAGATTGTTTGTTTTCTTCTTGTAAATTTGTTTAAGTTCTTTATAGGTGCTGGATATTACACCTTTGTCAGATGCATAGTTGGTAGATATTTTCTCCCAATCTATAGGTTGTTCATTCTGTTGATAGTTTCTGTTGCTGTTCAGAAGCTCTATAGTTTAATAAGGTCCTATTTATCAATTTTTACTTCTGTTGCAATTGCTTTTGGCCTCTTTCTCATGAAATGTTTGCCAGTTCTTATATCCAGAATAGTATTGTGTATGTTGCTTTCCAGGGTTTCTTTTTGTATAGTTTTGGGTCTTGCATTTAAGTCTTTAGTATATCATGAGTTGATTTTTGTATATGATGTAAGAAAGGGGTCCAGTTTCAATCTTCTGCATATTGCTTTCCAGTTATCCCAGCACCATTTATTGAATAGGAAGTTCTTTTCTCATTGTTTGTTTTTGTCAGCTTTGTTGAAGATCAGATGATTGTAGGTGTGTGGCCTTATTTCTGGGCTTTCTATTTTGTTTTATTGGTCTATGTGTCTGATTTTGTACATGTACACTGCTGTTTTGGTTACTGTAGCTCTGTAGTATAGTTTGAAGTAGGGTAACTTTGAGAGGTGAAGCCAGCTGGACTTCCTGGGCCGAGTGGGGACTTGGAGAACTTTTCTGTAGAGCTAAAGGTTTGTAATTGCACCAATCAGCACTCTGTAAAAAATGCACCAATCAGTGCTCTATGTCTAGCTAAAGGTTTGAAAATGCACCAATCAGCACTCTGTAAAAACAGACCAATCAGCACTCTGTAAAAATGCACCAGTCAGTGCTCTGTGTCTAGCTAACGGTTTGAAAACACAACAATCAGCACTCTGTAAAAAGGGACCAATCAGCATTCTGTAAAATGGACTAATCAGGGCTCTGGAAAATGGACCAATCAGTAGGACATGGGTGGGGCCAAATAAGGGAATAAAAGCTGGCCACCCGAGCCAGCAGTGGCAACCCACTGAGGTCCCCTTCCACACTGTGGAAGTTTTCTTCTTGCCCTCTTAACAATAAATCTTGCTGCTGCTCACTCTTTGGGTTCGCGCTACCTTTATGAGCTATAATACTCACTGCGAAAGTCTGCAACTTCACTCCTGAAGTCAGGGAGACCACGAAGTCACTGGGAGGAACAAACAACTCCAGATGCACCACCTTTTAGAGCTGTAACACTCACTGCGAAGGTCTGCGGCTTCACTCCTGAAGTCAGCGAGACCACAAACCCACCAGAAGGAAGAAACTCTGGACACATCTAAACATCTGAAAGAACAAACTCCAGACACACCATCTTTAAGAACTGTAACACTCGCCGCAAGGGTCCATGGCTTCATTCTTGAAGTTAGCGAGACCAAGAACCCACCAGAAGGAATAAATTCCTGACACAACATGATGCCTTTAGCCTTGTTCTTTTTTTTAGAATTGCTAGGCCAGGTGTAGTGGTTCACACTTATAATCCTAGCACTTTGGGAGGCCGAGGCAGGTGGATTATTTAAGCCCAGGAGTTCAAGACCCGCCTGAGTAACATGGCAAAACCTTGTCTCTATTAAAAATACACATGGTGGGCATGGTAGCACATGCCTGTAGTCCCAGCTACTTGGGAGGCTGAGGTAGGAGGATTGTTTGAACCCAGGAGGTCAAGGTTGCAGTAAGTCATGATCGTGCAACTGTACCCCATCTTGGATGACAGAATGAGACTGTCTCAACAACAACAAAAATAATTGTCTTGGCTATATAGTCTTTGTTGTTGCTATTCTATATGAATATTAAAATAGTTTTTCCTAGTTCTATGAAGATTGTCATTGGTAGTTTGATACAGCAATAGCATTAAATCTGTAAGTTGCTTTGGGCGGTATGGCCATTTTAATGATATTGATTCTTCCTATCCATTCCATTTTAAGCAGTGTTTTGTAATTTTCATTGTAGAGATCTTTCACCTCACTGGTTAGCTGTATTCCTACATATTTTATTATTTTTGTGTCAATTGTGAATGAGACTGCATTTCTGATTTGGCTGCCAGCATGACTCTTGTTGGTGTATAGGAATACCAATAATTTTTGTACATTGATTTTGTATCCTGAAACTTTGCTGAGGTTATCAGCTTAAGGAGACCTTGGGCCAAGACTATGTGGATTTCTAAATATAGAATCATGTCATCTGCAAACAGGGATAGTTTGACTTTCCTTCTTCTTATTTGAATTTATTGTATTTCTTTCCTTTGCCTGATTGCTCTGGCCAGGACTTCCAATACTAGGTTGAATAAGAGTGGTGAGAGAGGGCATCCTTATCTTGTGCTGGTTTCCAAGGGGAATGTTCTAGCTTTTGTGCATTCAGTGTGATGTTGGCTATGGGTTTGTCATAAATGGTTTTTATTATTTTGAGGTATCTTCCTTCAATACCGAGTTTACTGAGAGTGTTTAATATGAAGGGATGTTGAATTTTATTGAAAGCCTTTTCTGTGTCTATTGAGATAATCATGTGGTTTTTATTCTTAGTTCCTTCTATGTAATGCATCACGTTTATTGATTTGTGTATGTTGAACCAACCTCTTATCCCAGAGATAGAACCTACTTGATTGTAGTAGATTAGCTTTTGGATGTGTTGCTAAACTCACTTTGCAAGGATTTTGTTGAAGATTTTTGCATCAGTATTCATCAAGATATTATCCTGAAGTTTCTTTCTTTGTTGTTACTCTGCCAGGTTTTTGTAACAGGATGATGCTGACAATAAACTTTCTACCCTGATTTCTCTCTCTCTGCCTCCTCTTTAAGGCCAAAAACTTGGATTTGCCCTTTCGAGGCTATTTTCTACCTCCTGTTTTCATGTTTTATTCTTTTTTATTTATTTATTTATTTGGTTCCCTGACTGTGTATTTTCAAATTGCCTATTTTCAAGCTTACCAATTCTTTCTTCTGCTTGATCAGTTTTGCTGTTAAGAGTTTCTGATGCGTTTTTGAGCATGTCTATTGGTTTTTTCAGCTCCAAAATTTCTACTTGATTTTTAAAAATTATTTAAATTTCTTAGTTAAATTTATCTGATAGGATTCTGAAGTCCTTTTCTGTGTTATCTTGGATATCTTTGAGTTTTCTCAGAACAGCTATATTGAATTATCTGTTTGAAAGGTCACATATGTATCAAATTGGTCACTGGTGCCTTATTTAGTTCATTTGGTGAGGTCATGTTTTCTTGGATGGTCTTAGTGCTTGTGGATGTTCACTGGTGTCTAGGCATTGAAGATTCAGATATTTGTTGTGGTCTTTGCATGCTGGGTTTGCTTTACCTGTCCTTCTTGGGAAGGCTTTTCAAGTATTTGATAGAATTTGGGTGCTGCAATCTATGTCTTTGGTCACTTCAGCTGTATCTGCATTAGAGGGCACCCCAATCCTAGTGTTGCTGTTTCTTTTCCAGACTTATGGATGTGCTGCCTTGATGGTCTTGGGTGAGAGCTAGGAGAATTCCCTGGATTACCAGGCATAGGCTTTTGTTCTCTTCCCTTTACTTTCTCTCAAACAACAGAGTCTCTCTCTCTCTCTCTCTCTCTCTGTGCTGAGCTGCTTGGATTTGGGAGCTGGGTGACACAAGCACTCCTGTGGCCAACACAGCTGGGAATGTGCTGGATCCCATTTGAAGCCAGTATTTCTCTAAGGAGCACTAAAGGCCTGTGGCAAGTACTGCCTTGCCACCACTGCTAATTATTCTGTTCCCAAGGGATTTTATTCAGTATGTGATGAATTCTACAAGAACTTGTTCCTTCCCTTCAAGGCAGCAGGTTCCCTTCTCACACAGGGTATGTCTAGATACGTCATCTGGAAACTAGGGCCTGGAATGGGGTCCTCAGGCCTCTGCCTGGTGCTTTATTCTACTGTGACTGAGCTGTCATCCAAGTTGAAAGACAAAGTCCTCTTTACTTTCCCTTCACCTCTCCTCAATTCAAAGAAAGCTGTCTCTCATGGACTTGTGAGCTCTGCTGCCTGGGGTTAGGAAAGGGGTGATGCAAGCACTCACTTAGCTGTCCTAGTTGGTGTCTTGCTTGGTCACATACACCTCAAGTCCACTGGTTCTCAGCCAAGAACAGCACTAGGAATTGCTCAAGAATTTCAGTTCTTGTTGCCCAGACTGCCTTTCAAGTTTATTTAGGATCCCAGAGCACTTTAACCCACAGCGGCAGAGCTTGCTGGAACTCAAGTTCCAACTGCTAGGTTGGATGATTTGCCTATGGCTAGGGCTGGTCTAAATGCTTTCTCCATAGGTGCCAGCTGAATTCTGCCTCATGCTGTTTTCCAATATGACAGGGCAGCACTGATTTCCAATGCAAAATTCCACAGTCACTACACTCTCTCTCCAACAAGTGCACAGATTCTCTTTGTGCCACATAGCCTCTGCCGGGAGTTAGGGAGTGGTGTAGGCAATTCAAGACTGTCTTTTCTACTTTATTTGGTGTCTCTTTTCTTAATAATATGTTAAAACCAGGTACTGTGATCACTTACCTGATTTTTGGTTCTTATGAAGGTGTTTTTTGTATGTGGGTAGCTGTTCAATTTGGTGTTCCTGTGGAGGGAAAGATCACTGGGGGCTTGTATTCAGCCTTCTTGCCTTCCTTCCCTCTCCCTGCACCTACTATTTTAAAAAATATTATTCTGATTAACAAATCCATACATAAATTTTAAAGATACATAACTTTTAATGCTTTCTTTTATAAATAGCATAGGAAAACCAATAAGGGACAGCATAGCATAGGAAGAACAATAACTCAGTTATTCTTGTGCAAAAGAGGCTTCTAATATAATCTACACAGGTCAGACTTCTCTGAAACAGAACAATGAGTATTACATGATAGAGTCAAGCAAAGGAGTTAACTAAAAGACATTCAAAGAGAATCTATTATTTACTTGTTTTATGTCATATGCATGAGTTTATTTATTTATAAATATATATTTTTGAGATGGAGTCTCACTCTGTCGCTATAAATTTGTCTTCCTCATTAAACAGGTAAACTCTATGTGGATAAGGAACAGTGATCAACCCAAATGTCCATCAATGGGTGAATGAATAAAATGTAGCATATATACACAATGAAATATGATTCAGCCTTAAAAAGAAAGAAATCCTGTTGTGTGTAAAAACATAAATGAACATGGAGAACATTATATTAAGTGAAATAAGCCTGGTACAGAAATAAAAAGAGTACATGATCTCCGTTTATATGGAATTTTAAAAATTGAACTAATAAAAGTAGAGAATAAAATAGTGGTTACTAGGGGGTGGGGTGGGGGTTGAAGAGATGTTGCTCCAATAATACAAAATTTCAATTTGATAGAAGCAGTAGGTTAGATAAGTCTATTGTACAATATGGTGAATATAGTTAATAGTAATGATTGTATTCTTGAAAATTGCTGAGAGCAGGTTGTGAGTGCTCTCACCACAAAAAAATAAGTATGTGAGGCAATGTGTATGTTACTTAGCTTCATTTAGCCATTTCACACTGTACATATTTTAAAAATCATGTTGTACATGATAAAGACATGCAAATTTTAACAATATAAAAAGTGAATAATTTAGAAAAAAATCTTGATCCTCTCAATCAATATTTGCCTCCTTTCTTACAAAGCTTTGAGATTCTTAAAGGGCTTTTAAAATGTGGATATCTCTATTAATGATTTCCAGATTAAAATACAAAAATAAAAAATTTGAGTATTCAATAACTAATACAACAGGACAAAACTAATTCTATTTTGAAAAAAATGGTGTATGTCTCTTATAAAAATGAATAATTATTATATATCCCAGAATAATAAAAATTAGTGATAGAGGTAGAGATTTACATATATATAAATCTCATTCATTACTTACTATAGAACACAGTAATTTTAATATGTTCCTTTGAAACATATGAAGAAAAGCAGAGTTTTCACATATATGTAGTTAGAAAAGGGAAAGCGCTATAATAACAGTTAGTGGATTTTTTTGTTACTATATCAAACTCCCCACATATTTCGGAAATAAGTTGCAATGTAGAATCTGAAAGCCTATGACTAAACTTCCATACTCAAGTGTTAAAAGCTATTGGTTTAGCATGCACTTTAAGATGATATTTTACCCATAAGTGATTTTTGACATCATATATTGGTCATTTGAAAAATACTGCTTCACTGTATTATGTAATTAATTGCATAAATGTTATCACTTTTCATTTTAAGATATCAAAAGTAAATTACATGTGTTAATATGACTACTGATGTAATTAGAAAAGTCTTTTTGGAAAGCTGCCAAGTTATGGTAACAGATACAAGTTTTCCAAAATTCTAATTTTCTCATAATAGCTTAATTGTTCTCATTAGATAGATATATTGTCATTTTTTTTCCTTGAAGTGGAAGCCTCACTTTTTTCATTTTTAGGAAAATGTCTGCCAAATGCTGAAGTCGGAATAAACATATTTTGCTCCATTTTGTTACAAGAAGTATTTTTAAAGTCTGTACTTTTAAAAAAGTGTGTATTTTATTTAAACAAATAAAGAAATTTTATTGGCTTATTTTGACTGAAACTGATGTTTTAATTTCTGCAAGAGACTATAATTACTGTTTGATGCCATTGCTCTAATTTGTGCTAGTACTCTCATCCACTACTGTTTTTGCACCATCAATGCAAGTGTCAAAGAAGTGAAAAAGACAAGTAACATCTGTTATTATAAAGATAGTTTTGATAACAAGAATCTCAAAAATCCCACAGAGCAGATGTTTTGAGAAACATTTCATCATGAAGCCAGAAATAATAATTCTATAGTGAGAAACTCTTTATTAGCTTTCATGTACACATCATTTATATGCAAATGATTTATATATCATATATATCATTTACATACAATAATTTATATATAAATGATGGGTACCTGAAGGCTAAGAAATATGTGAATATATATATATATACACACACACATTTATTAGTGTTCATTTTATTAATATTCTGTAGCTGGGAAGACGATGGCCTATAAATTCTACAAAATTTTTTTAGGTAAATAAAATCAAATATTTATTATTTGAGAGAATTGGAGTCTAGTAGTTTCAATTTTTTATTGATAAATATTTTTAACATTTCTCAAGTATGAGGAAAATAGTAGTGAATAAATAAAAGAAACCTGAAAGCTAAAAGATATATTAAACAATTATGCAGTTTACACTACTTATAAAAGATAACGTAACTGCTAAATAACTCATTCTAATACCTTTGTATGCTTATTGTTCATGGCTAAGTATATAGTTCTACAGGAAATAAATAATAAAGCAATTCAATATCAGAATGTGATTATTATACAAATCGTTATAGCCTTTATTCTGTTTCCTTCATCAACTGTTAATCCTAGTTTGAAAGCACATTTTTGTCACTGAAGTGTTATTGTGGAACCAGTGTTAAACATAGGCAACTCTATAAAATGAGAAGGCATGAAAGATTGAAGTTTACATGCCAATGTTCATTCTCACAGCTCATTTTTGTTCACAGAGATATAATGGAATAACTGAGTATATGGATAGGTATTTCTGAGTTATTGAAAGACCTTGAGGGCTGCTGGTCTGAAATACTCACTTGTTAATGCAAATAAAGTAGTCTCAAAACGATTGATATAAAATATGCTCAGATCAGTAAAATGTCCTTGGGTTCTATCTGAAAAAAGAAATGAAGTAGGTAAAAACCCTAGTCCGTATCTTGAAATAGTCTAACTATTTTCATTCAAAATAATGGAGAATAACAAAGGAAAAGAGTAGTTATTTATAATTTGCGAGGCATTTGGTGTTACTAAGTTAAAATAATGTGGTGGACAGGATGGATCCATGATTAAATAAACTATAGAATCTTATGTTTATTATTTGTAATAGTCATTATGTGAATTGTGCTGAAAGTGATTAAATTCAATGTATGTAGATCTAAATTTATCATTAATATAGATAATTATAAATTGATTATATAATTTAAATTGAAAAATAGACTTGAGGTCATCATTACCTTACAGATTTCTCTTTTGTAATGAGTATGGCTTTTAAAAATAAAATTGAGGTAATTATATTTATACATTTGGATGACATGTTTTACTATATATGGTGCATATTATATGTACATATCTGAAATTCTCCTACTTCAGTAAAATATTTTTATCTACATATTATACCTCCATTGCAAATGTTAATCCAATTCATACTAAATTAAATTATTGCTATTCAAAAAAATTTGGTAATTTCACATAGGTCTTATACAAATAGTAACTAAACAATAATTGAAAAGAATCATCTAGTATATTGCCATTTTATATCTTTGGAAAAAAATATATTTATCATCCACATTTCTCTTCAGTCATTTTTGTCTCCAACATTTGACTTAAAAAGTATATTTTTTCTTATTTTTGTTGATTTTCATTCTCACACCATTAATAAAGGATATCCCTCTTTATCTGAATATTGATCCTTACTCTTAGAGTGATGATGACTTAAGCTTCTAGGCAATCCAGAACAAATTACCACAAAAAGTGGTATAAGGGAATACAAATGTATTATCTTATGAATGGTGGCAGAATATTCCACCCCAACATATGTAACTTTGACATAAGGTTTACTTCAGTTTAAAGGCACCTGAAAAATAGCAGATGCAAGAAGGGCATTCCAATGTTCTCCTACAAATAAGAGATAAAAACTCCCATGTGAAAGATGCCCTTCTGTACCAAGAGAAAAGAAACATGTTGGGATGGGGAGCTATAAACAAGATAATTTTGTACAACTAGACCTTGTTAAAATAATTATTGTCTTCCTTTAGCCTCACCATATAATATAATCACTTTTCCTCAATTGCCTCTATTTGCTGAACCTACTACAAAGGTATGTAAATTTTGCCACATCTTTGAGTCTTAATTTGCTTATGAGAGCTCCCTTGTTGTGTCAAACATACTATACTTGTATGCTTTTCTCCTGTCAATCTATTCATGTCAATTTAATTCCCAGGTCCAGCAGGGGGCTCTAAGAACGTAGAGGTAAAACTTTGCCTCCCCTATTCTTATAGTGCTGTAGGTTAGAACAAGACAGGTCTTAGTGAACTAAAATAAAGGTGTCATTGGTGCTTGATATGGTTTGGCTCTGTGTTTCCACCCAAATTTCATCTCGAATTGTAATCTTTATAATCCCCACATGTTGAGGGAGGGACTAGTGATTGGATCATGGGGGCAAGGCAGTTTTCCCCACGCTGTTCTCGTAATAGTGAGTGAGTTCTCATGAGATCTAATGGTTTTATAAGTGTAGGGCAGTTTCTCCTTCACACAATCTCTCTCCTGATGCCATGTAATATATGCCTGTTTCCCCTTCCACCAAAATTGTAAGTTTCATGAGTCCTCCCCAGCCATGTGCAAATGTGAATCAATTAAACCTCTTTTTTTAAAATAAATTACCTAGTCTTGGGAAGTGTCTTTATAGCAGTGTGAAAGTGGAACTAATATAGTAAATTAGTACCAGTGGAGTTGGATCCTGCTATAAAGCTAATCTGGAAGTGTGGACGATTTTGGAACTGGGTAACAGGCAGAGGATGAAACAGTTTAGGGGCTCAGAAGAAGACAGGAAGATGTGTGACAGTTTGGAACTTTCTAGAGACTTGAATGGTTTTGACCAAAATGCTGATAATGATGTGGACAATGAAGTTTAGGCTGAGGCGGTCTCAGATGGAGATGAAAAACTTCTTGGAATCTGGAGCAAAGGTGTCTCTTGCTACGCTTTAGCAAAGGGACTGGCAGCATTTTGCTCCTGCCCTAGAGAACTGTGGAACTTTGAACTTGAGAAAAATGATGGGAAATTGGAACTTATGTTTAAAAGGAAAGCAGACCATAAAATTTGAAAAATTTGCAGGCTGACAATGCGATAGAAAAGAAAAACCTATTTTCTGGGGAGAAATTCAGCTGGCTGCAGAAATTTGCCTAAGGAACAAGGAAGCAAATGTTCATCACCAAGACATTGGGGAAAATATCTCCAAGGCATTTCAGAGTTCTTGGGTACAGCCCCTGCTATTACAGACCTGGAGGCTTAGGAGGGAAAAATGGTTTCATGAGCCAGGCTGTGTGCAGCTTTGGGTTTTGGTGCCCTGCGTCCCAGCCATTCCAACTCCAGCCATGGCTAAAAGGGCTCAAGGTACAACTCAGGCCATTTCTTCAGAGGGTGAAAGCCCCAAGCCTTGGTGGCTTCCACATAATGTTGGGCCTGCAGGTGCACAGAAGTTGAATTGAGGTCCAAGGTTGAATTGAGGTCCAACCTGCAGGTCCACAGAATTGAGGTTTGGGAAATTCTACCTAGATTTCAGAGCATGTATGGAAATGCCTGGATGTTCAGGCAAGTCTGCTGCAGGGGTGGAGTCCCCATGGAGAACCTCTGCTTGGGCAGTGAGGAGGGAAAATATGGGGTTTCAGTCTCCACACAGAGTCTCCACTGGGGTAGTGCCTAGCAGAGCTTTGAGAAAAGGCCTCTGTATTCCAGACCCCAGAATGGCAGATCCACCAACAGCTTTCACCATACGCCTGGAAAAGCCACAGACACTCAACACTAGCTCATGAAAGCAGCTGGGATGGGGAATGTACCCTACAAAGCCACAGGGCAAAGCTGTCCAAGATGTAATGACTGTCCTGCTGGATTTGAGGCTTTCCTGGGGACTATAGTCTCTTTTTTGTGGGCAATTTCTCCCATTTGGAATAGGAGGACTTATCAAGGGACTGTACCCCCATTATATTTTGGAAGTAACTAACTTGTTTTTGATTTTACAGGCTCAGATGTGGGAGGGACTTGCCTTGTCTCAGATAAGACTTTGGACTTGTACTTTTGAGTTAAGACTGGAAAGAGTTAAGACTTTAGGGGACTGTAGAAAGCATGATTGGTTTTGAAATGTAAAAAGAATGTGAGATTTGGGAGTGATAAGGGATGGAATAATATGGTTTGGCTCAGAGTCCCCACCCAAATTTCATCTCAAATTGTAATCCCCATAAATCCCCACGTGTCAACAGACCAACTTGGTGGGAGGTGATTGGATCATGAGGGAAGTTTCTGCTTTGCTGTTCTCATGACAGTGAATGATTTCTCATGAGATCTAATGGTTTTATAAGTGTTTGACAGTTTCCCCTTCACTCATTCTCTCTCCTGCTGCCATGCAAGATGTGCCTGTTTCTCCTTCCACCATGATTGTATGTTTCCTGAGGTCTCCCCAGCCTTGTTGAACTGTGAGCCAATTAAACATTTTTTTTAACAAATTATCAAGTCTCAGGTAGTATAATTATAGCAGTGTGAAAACAGACTAATATTAGGCTTCCTCACTTTCTGGAGGCCATGGGTGATAGTCTGTTTCCTTACCTTTTCCAGTATGTAGAGGCTGCCGGTGTTCCTTGGTTGGTCACACTCTTCTTTCATTTTCAAAACCAGCGTAGTTGACTTGAATACTTCCCATAGCTCAGCATTCCAATTTTGCTTCTGTAGTTACATCTGCCTGTTCGGTTCTGACTCTTCTGTTTTCCTTGATGAACTTTTAGGAATCTTTTAATTACATTGGGCAAACCTAGATAAGGCAAAATCATTTCTGTATTTTTAGGTAGCTGATTAGCATCCTTAATTCCATCAGCAAACTTAATTCCCTTTTCCATATAACCTAACATATTCACAAATTCTGGGAATTAGGACATGGACATCTTAAGGGAACATCATTTTGCTATGATCCTCCATTTCTCCATTCCCTCCCTTGGCTCCCTCCTCATATGTATTCTATGTTTGTGTTTTTGCTCCTGCTCTCTTCAGACAACAATGATGCCATTCTCACTGTCTTCCCTAATTATACTAAAATTTCTGCATGAAAGCTAACCATTCCTCCATTAGGACATCTCATTCTACTATTCAAGGTACAACAGTCCCTTCCTTTGCTAAAATTTTAGAATATTTATACACTTTATGCAACAATAAACTTTAAATATGCCATTCTCCAGTTTTTTTCTTCCAGTTTTTTCATCATCTCCCTAAAGAGACTTTAATTTCCATGCACTAGAAACTACCTCATTATGTTACTCTTTGTGTATTTGCCATACTTAGCTATGTGTTGTTTACAAATTTTGATTAACTGTTTTCCCATAACAAGATTCTACTTCATGGTTGACTAGAATAAACCAATATATAGGAAATCCAACTATATCTCTTTATTATGTAAATATTTTTGGTCAAGTATCAATTTGTAAAGCAAATAACAAGATGACAGAGTTTTAATCCAGTGAAAAAAACTTAATATCAACATTAGTTTTCACATTTTATAATATTTGAAAAATTATTATTGGTTAAAATTCACATACAATAATAAAATTGGGCTTCCATTAAGTTTGAATTTTAATTAAATATTTGATTTGTTTATTTCACTTGTTTGTATACGACCTCCTCATGGTTTCAGCTCTCTGAATCACAATTTTTTTCTGATTATTTCATGTAAGAAAGGGAATGCAATTCTTTTTCAAGTAAGTTTTCTTTTTTCAAATAAACACCACATTTACAATATTAGTAATACATCCCATTAGCTTTGAGGTTCCTTTAATTAGATTAGTTTCATATACTATTTTTGCCTCCTCAAAACAGTGTTGACTAAAGTAGACTAGGGAACCACTCCCACTCTCTAATTCCTTCTACACAATGCAGAGTGCTATTTTACTTGCTGCACAGTAAATATTGCAGGCTGATCATAACTATTTGGCAGACTGCCATACCTCAGCTACATATCTTGTTCTTTGTCTTCTCTCCTATTTTAACTTTCCACTTTCCTATATAACAGAAAGTTTGAGAGCCCTAAAGACTAAAGAAAATATATATTTTTATGCTCAACATCTGGGAATTTAGAAAATATTGTTTCTTCTGCCAGTCATTACTCATTAAATAGGAATAGGCCTAAGAAGCCCGCGAATACAAGTAATTGCCTCAGTATGTGTAAAAATAATGGTCTATCAGTAATATAAACTATCTATAATGGACATCAGAGATTTGCTATGAACAGAGTAATTAAATATCAACAAAAATTTTTATGTATTTACAGTATCGGCATATGAGTGTACTATCTGCATAAATGTTCTGACAGCTAGTCTTAAACTGTGTGGAAAGTTCTGAGGGTGTCCCTCCTGAATTTTAAACGTGGAAGAAAATCTTGACTCCTCCTATGCCCACAGAAAGAAAAATTCTGTGTTTTGGTGATTTAAGTATTTTTTGTTTTGGGGGGGTGTAAAGAATAATTCAACTATTCTCAGGATATAACACCAAACAGTGTTGATATATGGTGTCAATTTAAGTATAAGGAATAATCTAATTCTCAAATTTCTTATTATATACTTTCAATAAATAAAATGTCAAGTTTTATGTTTAAAAAACTAATTATATTAAAATTATTTTTATTTACATGATGGACCTGTGTGTGTCCACTTTGACAATGATCAACGTAATTATTAGGAAAATAATAACTATAGTTATGGGAGAATAACTGCAATTATTTAGAGAAAAGAGTGAGAATTTCTTTACATATTAATCTTGTTTGTGAGTCATCAGAGGATCCCTTAACGTAGCAGCAGCCATGATGTCATTGAGGAAATAGAAACTTTGGCGTGTTAGGTGGGCAAGTATTAGTTCACAAGAAAATGAGATTGGACGAAAAATGAGCAAAAGATAATAAAAGACTGGATTGCTATTAGAAGAATGGGTAGTTTGAAAATAAAATGATCGACAATAGTCTAGAAATTGGAGATCTAGAGAAGGTTTAGTAAAGAAGAAATGAAGTGCAAAGGGAAAAACAGTAACAAGAAAAAAGCTAGTTAGAGCCCTCTTGTGGGTGTGGCTAAAAGGGTGGACCTGAGACTGAAATAAGGGAAAGACAGCAAGGAGTGCTAAATTTTATTCAGTACCTCACAATTCTGCTAAAATTTTATGTCATTTTATCTGCACAAAAGCCCTATGATGTGTGCATTATCATCTTGATAATAATTAAATTGTAGCTCAGAGATTGTAATTAATTGCAAGAAAAAAAAAAGCAAACCAGAAAAATAAGAGAACTGAGATTTAGAAGCTTATGATTACTTCCTTCATTAAAAAAAAAAAATAGCCTAATTGCAGGGTTGGCAGCATGAGGAAAAAAGTGAGACAAACAAGGAAGTATTTCAAAGACCAGAAGGTGAAGGAGAAAAATCTGAGCTAAATCTGTAATAAACATAACAGGCTCTAGATACTATTGTATAAACCTAAATAAGCAGTTATATTCTTTGAACATATGAATGACACAGGATTTATCATGGCAACTTAACATGAAACTAGAGGTTTGCTTTCTTAAGTACTTCAGCTAAAAAAGCATTGTGATGTCTAAAAGACTGAGAATTTGTTATGTGTTGCACCCTTTAGCAGCCTTTCAGGAAAGACATGAAAACTCAAACCAGCTAAAAAGGTATGACCTCCCCTTGGTTACTCTGAATGTTGCCTTAAAAAGTGTCATAAAGATCATCAATGTAAAAAAGCTTGTTTTAAAAATGATAATGTAATAAACATCTCCACATAGCTTAAATAAAATAAATATTACCACTACCTTCATCTTTCTATTGCGCTCCTCACCTACCTCCTATCCCTAGGTTACATTTTCCTATTTGCTCCCCAGAGCTCACTGCCATCCTGAATCTTTGCTTACCATTTCCTTTCTCTACTTGATGGTTTACAATATGTCTATACATTCCTAGAAAACATATTGTTTAGTTTTTTCATATTTCTGGTTTTTATACATTGGGTTGTAGTGTATATATTATTTTTCATTTGGCTTTGATATTATGTGGTTGCAATCCATTCACGTTGATGTGCATAGCTATAGTTTATTTTCCCTTCTTTCTAGTATTTAGTGGCTGTATATCAATACTATATGTAACTATTTTCTTCCTATGGGATTTCCATTTTGTTGTTTTTCTACTTTTTATTGGTTATCTAGTTATTATTGGTTTAGTTTTTGTAGTTATTGTAGTTTCATAGTTATTTTATTGTTTTTTCAGTTATTATTGTAAACAATACTCCCTTGACCATTCATGTAGATGTCTCCTTTCAAAAGATGTTTTTGGTGTAAGAGTTTATTTCTTGGCACATATACAGGAAATAATATGTGTGTAAGTCATGGACACATCCATCCTTAGCTTTACTAAGTTTCACTAGATTATTCTCCAATATTATTGAACCATATTATATTCATCTAGCAGTGCTATTTTTTCTTCCTCTATATCATGCATTTATTTATCTAATGACACGCACACAAAATAATATTGTGTATTCCATTTTACCTTAGAAGTTTTAAAAACTTACTTTGTAATTAGAGAAGAGTTTGAATTCCTTTTCATTCATTCTCTCATATATGCTATACAGCATATATGTATCTTGATATCCACTCATTATGAATATTGGAAAGAACACTTGCAGTTCAAAATATTATCTTTAGAATCAGGAAATTGGGAGAGGTCTTTTATTATGAGGCTTTCAAATGAATACTTTGGTATATCATTTGAATTTAAGCTATTCCATATTAAGGTTTCCAGGAAAAAATAACTCCAAAATTGATGTGAGTTTCATATTTGATGGCTAATTGCTTTTTAAATCTTTTAGTAATTGGTAGAAATGAAAAAAAATATTAAAATAAGGAGAATGTTTTTTCTCATTGTATTAGTTTATGATTGTGGTTGTAATAAATTGCCACAAACTTAGTGGCTTGATTTTTGAAACCTTAGAGTTCTGAGAGTCAGCAGTCCAAAAAGGGTCATGCAAATGTGAATAGGTTCAGTTCTTTCTAGAATCACTTTTCTTGCCTTTTTCAGCTTCTAGAAGTTGCTTTATTCCTTGGCTTGAGGCCGTTCCTGGCATCACTCCAACCACTGGCCTCTAACTTCTTAATCCTTCTTCAGACTTCTTCCTTTGACCGTCTGGACTTCCTCTTAGAGCACACCCTTGTAATTACATTTACGGCCCACCATGTGAAACCAGGATAAACCTGCACATCTCAAGATCCTTAATTTATTTATATCTCCAAAGCCCATTTACTATAGAAAGTAATATTCACAAAGGATAACAAACATGAAAACCTCTTGAAGTATCATTATCAAGCCAATCGCACTTATTTTTAAAAATTATTTAAATCTCAGGGTAAGGTGCAAGGTTTGTTCAGACTTGTTTAATATATTAGCAATCTGATCATGGAGACCTCAAAAGATTCATTAATATTAGATGGTGGTAAAGTCCATGGTATTTGCTACACAATTGCTCATTTGTTGATTTATATACTAACTCTAAAATGTTGATGATGGGTATGTTTTATGCCATCTGTTAGAGGTTGGAACATAATAAGAGTAAGGTGTTAATCAAAGAAGTGAAAATAGAAAATCTTGTTAACTCTAGGGTAAGGTTGTTGGAAGAGAAATTTTTATCTCTATCAAATTTGTCTTCCAGCTGGTGATATCTGTGGAAGTTATCTTAGCAACTGTTATCATAAACAACAATAGGTAAGACAAAATTGCTTCATCAGATTTATTAAAGAATACTTTTTCAGAAAGGACCTTGAAAGCCACTTTTATCAAGTTTTCTCTAAATATCAACTTGAACACTTTTAATTAGGGGATGCTAATATTTACCACGTAAACATTTTTCTGTCATTTGATAGATGCATTTAATAGTCTACCTATTCATCTAAAAATTACCTGTCTATACTTTCAATATTCTAGTCTCAGAACTGATTCTTTTTTATATTGTTGTATTATTTAAAACTTTAAAAAAATTTAAAATTATTACACATTGGCAGGACATTGCAAAATAGTACAGAGATACCCCATGGACTCACTCAATTTGTTATGGCTGCCTTTTACATTATTATAATATGAACACTACACATTTGACATTGGTATTATGAGTTTGTGCACTTCGATGTCATCGTTTTACATTTGGAGATTTCTGTAACCACCACTGCATTCATGATACAGCGCTATTCCATCACCACAAAGAGCTGCTACATCATGTCTCTTTATTACCCACCGTCCCACCCACTCTCTAACCATCCTACCATGTTCCAACCAGTAATCTGTTTTTCATGTATATAAGGTTGTCATTTTGAGACTGCCACATAAATGGGCTTCTATGGTATGTGACCTCTCAAGACTGTCTGTTTTCAATGATCATAATGACTTTGAGATCCCTCCAAGTTATATATATATAATTTGTTCTGTTTTATTGCTGAATAGTATTCCTTAGTATGGATATGCCACAGTTTCTTTTTTTTTTTTTAAACTTATTTTAGGTTAGGGGTACATTTGAAGGTTTGTTATTTAGGTAAATTGTGTGTTGCGGGGATTTGGTGTACAGATTATTTTTCCACACAGGTGATAAGAACTAGATAGGTAGTTTTGTATCCTCACCCTCCTCCCACCCTACACCTTTAAGTAGGCCCTAGTGTCTATTATTCTCTTCTTTGTATTCCTATGTACTCAATGTTTAGCTCTCACTTATAGGTGAGAGCAAGTGGTATTTAATTTCTGTTCCTGTGTTAGTTTGCTTAGGATAAAGTCCTCCAGATCTCTCCATGTTGCAGCAAAGAACATATTCTCTCCCTTTTTATGACTGTGTATAATTCCCTGGTATATATTTACCACAATTTCTTTATCCATTCTATCATTGATGGGCATTTAAGTTGATTTTATGTCTATGCTATTGTGAATAGTGCTGTGATGAACATTTGCCTGCATGTGTCTTTATGATAGAATGATTTACATTCTTTTGGGTATATAACCAATTATAGGATTTCTGGGTAAAATGGTAATTCTGTTTAAGTTCTTTGAGAAATCTCCAAAGTGCTTTGCACAGCAGCTGAACTAATTTACATTACCACCAGCAGTGTATAAAGCATTCTGTTTTCTTCACAGCCTTGCCAGAACACTATTTTTTGACTTTTTAATAATAGCCATTCTGACTGATATTAGGTGGTATTTAATTGTGGCTTTGATTTGCATTTCTCTAATGACTAATGATGCTAACTATTTTTTCATATTTTTGCTGGCCACATGTATACTTTCTTTTGAAAATTATCGGTTCATGTCCTTTGCCCACTTTTTGATGGGGTTGTTTGTCTTTTTGCTTGTTAATTTGTTTAAGTTTCTTATAGATTCTGGATATATAGGCATCTGGCCTTAGTCAGATGCATATATTGCAAATATTTTTCTTCCATTCTGTAGGGTGTCTGTTTACTCTCTCGATAATATCTTTTGCTGTATAGAAGCTCGTTAGGTTAATTAGGTCCCATTTGTCAATTTCGGTTTTTGTTGCAATTGTTTTGGCACCTTCATCATGAAATTTTTGTTTGAAACATCAAATGTAATTAAAAAACCAAAAGCTAAAGAAAATGTATTTAATATACCCATATTTTTTCTGATAACATTATTCCTTTTTTCACGATGTTTCAAGCTTACTTCTTTTATAATTTTCTTTTTGTTAAATTTAGATAAGCTGATGACTTAGGTTTTTTTCATCTGAGACTGTCTTAATTTCCCCTTCATTACTAAAGATAGTTTCACTGGATGTAGAATTCCATGTTGACAGTTCTTTCAGTTCTTGAAAAATCAGCTTTCATTCAAACTGCTTTTCCAATATATGGGATGCATTTTTCTCTGTAGTAACTTTCAAAATTTTTTCATTGTCTTTAATTATCAAAATATTGACTATGATGGGGCTTGGTTTGAATCCTTTTTGGCTTATATTTTTAGTTTTCTCAGGTCCTTGAATCTATATTTTTTTTTCTGCTAAATTTAGGGAATTTTCAGTCTTAATTTATTTGAATAATATTTTATTCCCAACCCCCTTCTCATCTCCTTTTGGGACTGAAGTATCAGTATGAGACCTTTTATTATAGTCACACCTTTAGGTTCTGATTTTTCACATTATTTTATCTGAAAATAAGAGAAAATTACTTTGGTAATTAGTATTGTTCTATTTTTAAGCTCACTGATTCATTCCTCTTTCCTTTCTAGAATGTCATGGAACCCAACTATTCAGTTTAGTTTTTTTTAATTTTGGTTGTTATATGTTCAAGTTCTAAAATTTCCCTTTATTTCTTTTTTAGATCTTCTATTTCTTTGCTGAGAGTTTCTTTTTTTTATTTGTTTCAAGCATATTGGTAATTGCACATTGTGCAAAAGCATCTTTATGATAGATGCTTTGTAAATCTTATTAGACAATTCTACCAACGGTGTAAACTTCGTCTTGGCATCTGTTGATTGTGTTTTCTCATTCAATTTAAAATATCATTCTTGGTAGGAAGAAATAAAGAGTGATGTTTGATCAAAACCTGCACATTTGTGGTATTATGTTATAAGACTCTGGTTCTTATTTAAAGGTTTGTGTTTTACCAGGCCTCTTCCAACCCTATTCTGATTGGTGAAGGGGAAATGAAGTTCTGTTACTGGTGTCTGGGATGGAACTCCAGTTCCTCCACCTGAACTTTATTGATACTGGCTGTGGAAGAGGAGCTCCTTTTACTACTACAATGGAGTGGAAGTTCAGGCTCCCATCATGGGCCCCCAAAACACTACCCTGGCTGTGAGGGTCACCTTATTACTGTTACCAAGATTTGTCCTTATCTGACACCAATGGAGAGGGTGCCCTTTTTTAAAGCTAGTGAATGTGACAGTCCTAACTTTCCACTGGTTTTCTTGGACATCAGTCTAGCAAAGTGGGAGAGGGGTGCCTCATTACCACCAGGTGAGTGTAAAAGTACCAGGCTTCCCAATTGGTCTCCATTGATATTAGGAGGCTTTGTTATAGTCCAGTGGCGATAGAAGTTCCAAATTCCTACTCAGCCTTCTCTAATACCAACCTGGTGCCTGGAGTGTTTCATTGCAGTCTGGAAATAATGTAATCCTAAATTCCTCACTCAACATTGTTGGCACGTGTGTGTGTTTTGGGGAGGTAGGTGTTATAATTATTTTTTGTGTTGTTTGGCTAGAGCAGAATAGTAATTGTCTGAATGTTTCTGCCTTGCTAGGATGACACTTTTCTATTCCTTTGGTAGAGGAGAAGAAGCTTTTCTTGGACTTACTGTTCCTACTGTCATTTTCAGTTTGTCAGCTTCTCTAGCATTCAGACTGCAATACATGAGTCAAAAAGAAAATTCAGATATGTTTCTTGGGTCTCTAGCAACTTTCCTTTCCTCTCTCCATCTTTTGGAGTCTTCTTATGTTTGTCTTACACATAATATTGAGGGTTTTTGCTTATACTTAGGGGGAGAAAAAAGTAATCTACCTCGTCTTGCAAATACATAAGTTCCAGTCATGAGTTTTAGAATTACAAACAAACAAAAATCTATTACGTCTATAGAAAAATCCTTCAGCTATTTTTTTTGAGATTGTCCTTGTAGGTAGCCCAACTGTGTTATTTTTATTGATCACATACGTCCAAAAGAGTCACTATTATTTCCCTTTCTAGGTTATTCTATAGGTGAGATCATGAGATCAGATCTGTGATTCTCTAACTTTCTTCTCTTTCTCTCTCTCTCTCTCAACATGGTTCTGGCACCACCCTAAATTCAAAGAATATTATTAGGTAAGTTTCTTGGATGTATCCACTTGTCTTGTGGATTTCACATATCTATATTACAGATGTAGTTATTGATGACAAGCTAGCTGTATTAGCTATATTTTATTCAACTGCTATAAAGAAATATCTGAGGCTGAGTAATTTATAAGGAAAATAAGTCTATTTTGGCTCATGGTTCTGCAAGCTATGCAAGAAGCATGGTGCTGGCATCTGCTGCTGTGAGGGTCTCAGGAAGCTTGCAATCATGGCAGAAGGTGAATGGGGGAGCAAGCATGTCACGTGGCAAGAAGAAACGAGAGAAAGTGGGGAGGTGCCACACACTTTTAAACAATCAGATATCATGAGAACTAACTCCATCATGAGGACAGCACTAAGGTGTTCATGAGGCATCCACCCCCATTACCCAAACACCTCCCACGAGGCCCCACCTTCAACACTGAGGATTACATTCCAACATGAGATTTGGAGGAGACAAACATGCAAACTATATCATCCAGCCTCTGGTTTCTCAAATATCATGTCCTTTTCACGTTGCAAAATACAATAATCTCTTTATGGTAGTCCCCTAAAATCTTAACTTGATTCAACATAATGTTCAAAGTCCTAATTCTCATCTGAGTTTCATTTCCTTCCACCTGTGGGTCTGTAAAATTAAAATAAGTGATTTACTTCCAAAATACAATGGCAGTATAGGCATCGGGTAAACATTTCTGTTGCCAAAGTGAGAAACTGACCAAAAGAAACAGGTATTAGCCCCCACACAAGTCTGAAACCCAGGTATTAAATCTTAAAGCTCTCCAACATAATCCATGACTTCATGTCCCACATCCTGGCTCAAGGGGTGGTGTTCCAGGCCCTGGGTAGCCTAACTCTTTTGGCTTTGAATGGTGCAGCCTACATGGCTGCTCTCACAGGTTGGAACTGAGTGCTTGTGGCTTTTCCAGGCAAAGGGTGCAGGCTGTTGGTGAATCTAACATTCTGAGGTCTGGAGGGTGGTAGTCACCTTCCTACAGCTACACTAGGCAATTCCCCGGTAGAAGAGTTTCTATATGGGCTCCAACCCCATATTTCCCCTCATCATTGCCCTAGTAGATTTTCTCTATGGCGGCTCTGATCCTGTGGCAGGCTTCTGTTTGGGCACCCAGCTTTTTCCATACATCCTGTGAAATCTAGGTGGAAGCCCAAACCTACTTCATGCTTGCATTGTGAACATCTGAACACTTAGCACCTTGTGGAAACCACCAAGACTTATGGCTTGCAACCAGTGGAGCTGGGACCAATCTGTACTTGGTTCCTTTAAGCCAAAGCTGGAGGTGGAGTGGCCAGGATGCAGAGAGCAGTTTCCTGAGGCTGACCAGTGCTCTGAGCCTAGCCCCTGAAACCATCCTTTCCTCCCAGACCTCTGGGCATGTGACAGGAGGGGCTGCCTTGGCGATCCCTGAAATATCATTGAGGACTTCTTCCCATTGTCTTGGCTATTAGCTTCTGGCTTTCTTTTGGCTATGCTAATCACTCTAGCAAGTGATTTCTTTGAAGCCTGCTTGGACTTTTCCTCTGAAAACTGGCTTTTCTTTTCTACCACATGGCAAGGCTGCAAATTTTCCACTTTTACTCTCTGCTTTGCTTTAAAATGTAAGCTTCAACTTTAAGTTATTTATTTGCTCTCACATCTGAAAGTTGGCTGTAGAAGCAGTCAGGTCATGTCTTGGATGCTTTGCTGCTGCCAGAAACTCTAAGTCATCATTCTTATGTCCAAACTTCCACGGATCCCTAGGGCATGAACGCAATGCAGCCAAGTTCTTTGCTAAGGCATAACAAGGGTGACTTTTGCTCCCATTCCCAACAAGTTCCTCATTTCCATCTGAGACCTCTTCAGCCTGGACTTCACTGTTCATATTCTCACCAGCATTTTAGTCACAATCATTTAATCAATCTCTAAGAAGTTACAAGCTTTCCTTTATCTTCCTGCCTTTTTTTGAGCCCTTTGGACTCTTCCAACCTCTTCCCATTACCCAGTTCCAAAGCTGCTTCCACATTTTCAGGTATCTTTATAGCAATGCCCGACTCCTTGGCACCAATTCCCTGTATAAGGCTGTTCTTGCATATTACGCCTATTCCCAATAAGATTCTCATTTCCATCTGAGACTTCTTCAGCCTGGACTTTACTGTTTCTATCAGTACCATCATTTTGGCAATAACCATTTGACTAGTCTTTAAGAAGTTCCAAACTTTCCTTCATTTTCCTGTCTTTTTCTGAGCCCCTCATACTTTTCCAGCCTCTCTCCATTACCCAGTTCCAAAGCTGCTTCTACATTTTCACACAACTTTGTAGCAATGCTTTCCTCCTTGGCACCAATTTTCTTTATTAGGCTGTTTATGAGTTGCTATAAATACCTGAGGCTGGATAATTTATAAAGAAAATAGGTTTGTTTTAGCTCATAGTTCTACAGGCTATACAGGAAACATGGTACTGGCATCCGCATCTGGTGAGGACCTCAAGAAGCTTACATTTATGGCAGAAGACAAAAGGGGAGCAGGCATGTCCCATAGCAAGAGAGGGAGTAAGATAGAGCGGGGAGGTGGCACACACTTCTAACAACGAGATCTCATGGGAACTCCTCACTGTCACGAGGAAAACTCTAAATCATTCATCAGAAATCTGCCCCAAATGACCCAAACACCTCCCACCAGGCCTATCTTCGACATTGGGGATTAAAATTCCACATAAGATTTGGAGAGGACAAATATTCAAACTGTATCACTAGATATAAATATTTATTTCTGAATTATTTTTAAAGTATTCTGTAAGTAGATGAAGATATACTATTAATCTGCTTTGTTCTGAAAACAGTTAAAGATGATGTGTATACTTCTTTATAAACCACAAGACCTTGTATGAATCTAGTTCTTATTAAAATATTACTGTTACATATTTTGGCTTACAGTTTAAACCAAATCAAATATACACCCACACAATCTCATCACCAGCAAGTTAACCAATGAAACATACTTTTTATTGAACTCATTTAGAACACAAAATATTAGTATTTGCAATAGTTTTCTATTGCTGTAGTCAAATTATCACAAAGTTTGTGGCTGAAAACAAATTTGTTTTCTTACAATTTTGGAAGTCAGAAATTCTAAAATAGATTGATAAGACCACCTTCCTTCTGGGGAATCTAGAAGATAATCTTTTTCCTTGTCTTTTCTAGTTTCTAGAAGCCTCATGCATTCCTCAGCCTTTTTATTCAATCTTCCATCTTCAAAGCCAGCAAGATAGCATCTCCCAATCTCTTTCTCTGTCCTTCTTCTTCTGTCATTGCACGTCTGTCTGTGTGGACCTCCTGCCTCCCTTGTATAAAGATTGTTGCTTTTTCATTGAGACTACCAGTAGCTAAAGATAATCTGCCCACTTCAAGATTTGCACTTAATTATGTTTGTAAAGTCCCTTTTTCCATGTAAGGTAACATATTCAAAGGTTCTAGGAAATAAGACTTGGATATCTTTGGGGTCCACTATTCAGCCTCCCAAAATACTAGAAACTAAAGTTATTTTCTAAAAAGTTCTGAAAGTTGGAAGAAGTAATGCAACTTACAGTAGTTGCAAAACTAGATGGAGGAAATGTATACATAATTTGAAGTTCACAATAGATAACATCAAAACTCCTCACAAATAACATTAGTATAGCATATGCCTATGATTGACTCTTATCTTTTGAGGTATTACTTAGAAGCAATGTAATGATGCCGGACAGTTAATAACTAGAAAATATCAATTATTTGAATCGCTCCTGGAAGTTTATTAATAGTGGGAAAGCCACCCATGGTAAAGAGTCATAAGTGATGATCACATCTATGATTGGTTACTTTAAAAGCAGTTCCCCAGTAATAAAAGTTTGCTACCTTTCCACCAAAGTCTTAGATTTCAAAAAAACAAATAATACAAAATTAACACTTGTATGTTAATGTAGTGTGTTCAGCCTCCTATAACAAAATACTAAAGATTATATAACTTAAACATACATTTATTTTCTTAGTTTTTACAGCCTAATATTATAATGCCAGCAGCATTGGTGTGTGGTGAGGGCTTTATCTTTGAATTGTAGGTGTCTGCCTTCTTGAAACATTTTCATATAGCAGAGAGAGTGCACGGATATCTCTTCCTCTTCTTAGGAGAGCACTTGTAAGGACACTCATTTCATCATGAGGATGACCTCTAGACCTCAACACTTAATCTAAGCCTGATTATCTCCAAATTCCATTACACTGGAGTTAAGGCTTTAACATATGACTGGTGGGTGAGGGAAAAATTCAGTTGACAGCAAATAGGAAAAACAGAACAAAACAAAAACAAATAAGTAGAAAAGCTCCTATGTAAGACTACCTCCAACTTCCTCCAGCACCCTAAACCATAAAGCAAATAAAACTTTGTAAGTTTCTTTCTAATTTTGATGTTGACCCAAAAGTATTTTAGACATTTGTGATAGCACTATCAATGAACAGCGTTACTGATATTGTAATCTCTCGTTACAAATGAATGAAAAATAATCAAAGGGTATTGTAAAAAATAATATTTCAGAATAATGAGACTAATGTAAATAATTAGAGAAAATAGTTCTTGTATAGGTGAATTTCTGAAATACACTTAAACTGGTATTTTTATTGATGCACAAGAAAATATTGCTTCTATGAAGGAGGATCTAGCTAAAAATTTCTTAACAGAAGAACTTTTTTATGAGAGAACAACATTGTTTATAGAATTTTAAGATGTGTTAGAAGTAGTAACAATTGCACATATTTGACAAAAATCCAAATTATTTAATATGCATTTATATTCGAGAATCTCAAAACTCAAAAAGATCTGATGACTCTGGTTCCAGAAAAGAAAAGAGAAGAGACATAAAGTACAGCACACACAGGTACAAGAAAACATTGGAATGAGAAACAGAAAAGTTGGAATAGGAGTAATAACACAGTGAAATATAATTTCCAGAAAATTGTGGTGCGTGAAAAAGAAGACAACTCCAAAAAATTATATACTATATGGTTCCATGTATATTAAATTTTTTAAAAGACACAATTTTAAAACTAGAGAATAGTGATAATCAGGGGTTCGGAATGTTGATGGAGCTGGAGAGCTAGATGCATATGATTTTAAAAGGACAATATCAGGGCTCTCTCTGGTTATGGATCTGTTTTGTTTCTTGGCTGGTGATGGAGACATGAGTGTGCACATGTGACAAAATTGTACAGAACTAGACTCATGCATGTGCACACACACAAATGAGTACAAACAAAACTGGGAAATCTATGTAAGATTAGAGGATTGCATCAGTGTTGACATTCTGGTTGTGGTACTGTACTATAGCTTTGCATATTACTTTTGGGGGAAATTAGATAAACGATATATGAGATCTTTTTGTATGATTTCTTGTAAGTATAGGGGACTCTACAATGACCTCTTTATAAACAGTTTCATTAAAAATATATAAATAGAATAAAAGATTTAGGCTTCAAAACAAATGGAATCCACAAGTAACTGTATTATGTATTATAGGAATGTATGCTATGACATATTTTATAACATTCATAAATTTCAAAGATAAAGATAAAATCTAATAAAATAAAATAGAAAGAAAACAACTAGCCCATTAAAACAAAACAAAAGCAGGCTGGTTTTAGCATTCGCTTTGTTCGTGATGAACAACTCTGGAGTCAGTGTTGTTCTCCATAACTATAAATGTCATAAAATAACGGATAAATGTAAATTTTTAAAAACAATGTGACTCAAGCATTTCTTAGGCAGTAAAATTAGTTTGCATAAGTGAGGTAAAAACTATATTTTGTAGTCCACTGAGACATAAACTGTTCATCTATTTGACCTTTCTGAAAAGCAGTAATTGAAAAAATATTACAGTAGAATTATAAATGAACAAAAAGAGAATTCAGGAATCAAAATATTATTTCAAGGAAAAAGCCATAGATACTGAAACCAACAAAAATTTGCAAAGAAGTCTAAAAAGTTTATATTAATATGAATATTAAACTCGAAGGAATTATATAAATATGCTTGAATTAGAAGTAATACAGTTTAAGAGTAAATTGATGACATGGGAGATTGAGATGAACACAGTATCTTCTAATTTTACATAATGCTCAAGGCAAGAAAATAAATGTAGTTTAATTATTTAATATTAAAATATAATATGGCAACTTTAAAAAAATATTATACTTTAAGTTCTGGAATACATGTGAAGAACGTGTGGGTTTGTTACATAGGTATACACGTGCCATGGTGGTTTATTGCACCCATCAACCCATCATCTACAGTAGGTATTTCTTTTAATGCTATCGCTCTTCTAGCCCCTCACCCCCGACAGGCCTCGGTGTGTGATGTTCCCCTTCCCGTGTCCGTGTGTTCTCATTGTTCAACTCCCACTTATGAGTGAGAACATGTTGTATTTGGTTTTCTGCCCCTGTGTTAGTTTGCTGAGAATAGCGGTTTCCAGCCTCATACATCCATATCCTTGCAAAGGACATGAACTCATCCTTTTTTATGGCTGCATAGTATTCCATGGTGTATATGTGACACATTTTCTTTATTCAGTCTATCATTGATGGGCATTTGGGTTGGTTCCAAGTCTTTGCTATTGTGAACAGTGCTGCAATAAACATAAGTGTGCATGCGTCTTTATAGTAGAATAATTTATAATCCTTTGGGTATATACCCAGTAGTGGGATTGCTGGGTCAAAGGGTATTTTTGGTTCTAGATCCTTGAGGAATTTCCACACTGTCTTCCACAAAGATTGAACTAATTTACACTCCCACCAACAGTGTAAAAGCATTCCTATTTCTCCACATCCTCTCCAGCATCTGTTGTTTCCTGACTTTTTAATGATCACCATTCTAACTGGTGTGAGATGGTATCTCATTGTGGTTTTGATTTGCATTTCTCTGATGACCAGTGATGATGAGCTTTTTTTCATGTTTGTTGGCCACATAAATGTCTTCTTTTGAGAAGTGTCTGTTCATATCCTTTGCTCACTTTTCGATGGGGTTATTTGTTTTTTTCTTGTAAATTTGTTTAAATTTCTTGTAGATTCTGGATATTAGCCCTTTGTCAGATGGATAGATTGCAAAAATTTTCTCCCATTCTCTAGGTTGCCTGTTCACTCTGATGATAGTCTCTTTTGCTACGCAGAAGCTCTTTAGTTTATTTAGATCTCATTTGTTAATTTTGGCCTTTGGGCAATATTTTTAATTGAACTTAACTCCTGAGGATAAAGTAACAGCAACAACAAAAATGATACCCAGAAAAAGAGAAAACAAAAATTGCTATTTTTCACGAAAAAAAATCAATGGACTTTTAAAATTACAAAGTCCAGTATTTTTTAAAGTAATGAAAACATATTAGTCATGATAAAAAATGACAATAAAGTTCACTAGAAACAATAAAAAACAACCACAGTAAACTTTCTGCAGCTGATAGGAGAATCACTACAATCTACATAAAATGGTATTTTAAAAATAAATTCATGTTAACTTCTGGGTTTGTCTGTGAACCACAGAGCTGGTATTGGACTTACCTTACTACTCTGGACAATTCTAAAACTCAACAAACCTTTTGAGGAACTCTTTTCGTTTATTAGAAAACAGACAGCAAAGGGCTCTGAAACTTGAAGAAGGGATGGCTCAAAGGTGAGCTCTGCACATATCATCAACTGGCTTCTGGTTGGCGTCATTTCTAACCCTTAAAAGTATAGCTTTAACAGGCAGCAGCAATCTTGTTGGGCAAAACAAACAGATCAAAAAGGTGACAAAGTGGTAGCTTTTTTTGTGGGGAACAGCACCCAATGGGAAGGGCTTGCAGTGGAGAAGATTAAGAAATCTGTGTAGTGGAGCTCTTTGGTCTTTGACTGAATCCTAAACTACACATTTAAAGAACAGGATTATGTAATCATTAGCAGGTAACATCTGAGAATTAAGCATATTTTTGAGGTAAATGACTGAGAAGATATTTGAATTTCGAGCTTTCATCAACCAGAAAAAAATGTAAAAATAAAAATCATATTCTATAAAAAAGTTTTGCACATAAATTCTGAAAACACAACTGAAACAGAACCACCTCCCCAACCTAAAACTAAGTTAAGACAGGATCAAAGTAATCTAACAGTAATAGAAATTCCCCCCAGAACAACTCAATAATCTATAAGAGAAGATAATGCAATCCAGTTTTTATAACATATCATTTGTAACATCTATATGCAATAAATTAGCTACTTATTATAAAAAGAGGCAAATAGGACTTCCAATCAGAAGTAAAATAAATGCAGTTAAGCTGAGTAGACTTATAGATGGCACAGATATTGATATTAACTGACAGGGACTTTAATATAACAATTGGAGAGTTTAAAATAGTTTATAGGAAAACAGGAAAAAATGGGTGAAAAATGGGGACATTCAAAAAAGGAAAGATATCCCTAAATAAATGATTCTAATGGAAACGTTAAAGAAACAAATACAATATCTTTATAAACAATCTTAGTTGGAAATAGACTGGACAAAGCAAAATAAATATTTAAATGAAATAAGAATGATACAAATTGTACAAACTGAAGTACAGATGGAAACGTAATAATAAAAGACTAGAATATCTGAGGCCTGTGAGAATATATCGAAATAGGGAATCTAGAGATGATTGGCATTCAGGAAGGAGAGGAGAGAAAACATACAACAGAAATTTTCCAAAATTCATGAAAAATGTTAACTGACTGATCCAAGAACTTAATGAACTCCAAGCAGGATAGATACAAAGAAAACTACAACCAAGTGCGATATACCCAACCTGATGAAACTCAAAAATACAAAAATGTTAAATTAGGTCATGAAAAATATATACGATGAATTCTGAGGGAAAAAAAGTATAATGGTTGCCCCCTTTGTCAGATACAATAGGAACAAGAGAAAAGTAACATTTTTAAAATTCTGAAAAAATAAATTTCATATCCCACATCTCTCTTAAAATTGATAGTGAAACAAGGACATTTTCCAAGAAATATAAACTTAAAAAGAATTTTGTGCTGAATACAAAAAATTTGTAAAAATACAAAAGAAGTATCTTTATTTTGAGGCGAAATAATCCCAGATGGAAGCCTGGATAATCCTTCCTTCCATAGAAAGAAAGACAAATGGAAATCATAAATATGTGGATAAATACGAAAGAGTATTTAAAATTATTTAAAATATTATTCATTGTTTAAGTCTAAATTAATATGTGTATGGTGGGATTTATAATGTATACACAATTGCATAACTGTATAAAAAGAAATAAATGGAATTAATCAATTGTAAAGTGCTCACCTTATTAGTGAAGTAGATTTATTAGCGTTGACTGTAACAAATTGTAATCCCTAGCGTAACTTTAAAAAATAGTGCAAAGAGGTATAGCTGAAAAATTCAATAGAGCAAACAATGTGGAATGCAAAAGTAGAGATGTTTCCTGACTTAGGGTGATAAACACATTGTTGAAAATATCATAAGCTGAAAATGCAACTAATACAACCCACTGAATATCATAGCTTAGCCTAGCCTACCCTAAATGTGCTCAGAATACTTACCTAGTCTACAGTTGGGAGAAATCACCTAAAACAAAGCCTATTTTATAATAAAGGGTTGAATATCTTATGTAATTTATTGACAAGCACGCTGAAAGTGAAAAACAGAATAACTGTATCATTTTTGAAGTATTATAAAGTAAAAAAACTGGTAAGTGGAACCATTGCATGTCGGTTACCACTTGTATTTGATTATCTGAAAAGAAGGCAGGAAAGGAAGAAAGGAGCAGATGAGACAATTAGAACAAAAATGTTTAAATAATTAACATTTTGTTTAAGTAAATTTAGCATCTTTTGAGTAGCATATCTATGAAGGTTCTTAATGCCATTTTTATATTTTTAAATCAGAAAGCAAAATGAAACAAAAAATCTTAAAAGCGTCATTTGCATTGCACTTTGAAGAACAATGCTCAATAGGTAACGGGCTTCAAACATCAGAGAATCAATGTCTAATATTTAATTTAGTATTTCTCGTTTATGCATACACCACAGGAAATACATTTGTAAGAATAAGAAGTACATAAATTCATTATACTTAAAATCCTGTTGTTAAGATAGAGACTAGCATATCTGGAGGCATTTGAAAGGTATTATAATTATTTTTAATTAGATGGATTTTTCTTTTAGTTGAGCCATCTTCTATGATTTCCAAGTTCTATGGTTTCTTTTTCCATGATTTGATATCTGTGATTCACATACTTATGATTATAAAATAAAATGGGTTGAAATTTTAAAACATACACATATGATTCATTATTGGATTTCGTGAATACATTATGCTACCTCACATTTCTGAATCAAAGCCATGAAAATATAGAAACTAAATGTACTCCAGTAACATTTTTCTAATACAAAACTCAATTTCCTCCTGAGACGAATGAAGAGCTTATGATGAAGGCTTATGAAAAATGCTTCCAAAGTTATGTATTAGATTTTATTCTTTTCACAACAGTAGAAAGGCTTTCTAGTAAGAAAATGTGAAGTTAATATATCCTGTTTTCAACACATCTTGTGTATCTGCAATTCTCTGTTCTTTTACAACTTTCTAAACGAGAAGAAAATTGACTTTCCAGGCAAAAAAAGCAAGTGCACATTATACAGATTGTAAACATAGCTGCAGAGGGAGCTAACTAAATTATTTGTATCAGTTTCTAAGAAATATGTAAATACACTACATGTGCCATCTTCTCATAATCCATTTAGAAATATTTGGTCTCTGTTGTTTTTTATTATTCTTCCTCATCTATATTCCTCCTTGTCACATTTAGGCACAGCCTACTGACTGCCCATTCTTTACAATTTTATGTTAGAGATCTCCAGGCATATTTCAATCCTTATGATAAGGCATCCATAGGGTCACATGTAGAATATTTGTTGAATGGTATGGAGATTTTATGACTTGCAAATTTACTTGACACTACATTTCTTTTCCCAAAGGAAGAAATAGCATACACTGTATTTTTCTTTTTCTTTTCCAAGTAAAATTCTTTCTTCCCCAAACAGCAACCTGTCTGGATCAGACCTTAACCACTCACCTTCTTCCAGAACTGTACAGTCTTTTCTCTATTAATAGATTACTGCAGTCTTATAGAGGGCACATCTCTGTATTCCATAAGTTCCATGGCTTTGCCCCAGCTGTCAAGCTCTGCTCCACTCTTCCTTTCCTCTTGATGTAATAGCAGATCAATCAGGGGTTATGGGTGATGATCCAATGTTTGCTGAGCATCCGGGGTGAATTAGGTACTGTAGCAGTTACCAAAAAAATTACATTTTATTCTAGACTTTAAAAATCTTAGAGGTGATGGGAAAAATTAATTAGAACAAAGTGTGTTATAAAGTATACAATACAAGATAATATATTAAAAATGCCACAGGGAATTTCTTATTACAGAAGACAAGAACATTTACTCTTACCTGGTAAAATTAGGGAGAAGAATTATAATTTATGTTTTTTGTTGCCATGGATTTCTTATATCAAGTAGGAATAGTTAAAAATAACATCCAATCTTTCAAAATCTTTCTGACTATAAACTTCTGACCCTGTCTTCAGTTTACACTTTCATATTGAGAAGTCACCAGAGAAAGATGAAGCCCATGTATCATTTGGAATCTTCAACAGAAATTCAATTTTTAGAATTTACTTGAATAGGATTTTGCCAGCTAGGTGTGTTTCTATTAAAAAAAAAACACAATGTCTGCAATATAGTCATTACATATTCACCACCAAACATGCAAGTTAGTGTGTGTTATCATAGAACAGAAGTCAGATAGGCAATTGAAGAGAGCCCTGTCTTTAGCCATCACTACTATAAAAATTGCTGAGGTGCTCTTGCTAAAAAATGCTTAGTCATACTTCTACAATATTGGTTATTTAGCATTTCACTTTTTCCTTGAACCAGTGCCCTACACAAGAGGAAGCAGAAGATTGTGTGTTGGCTATGTGTGGATTTGGGGTTTGTGCTTCTCCTCTTAGAGGCACACACATTGTTTCACATAACACCCATACAAAGACTTGTGATATCTGTGATGATTTTACTAAAGTGCATTTGTACCAGTAAGTACTGTAGAGAAGGCAAATTTTTACCTTTACCTTCTTGGGATAAAATAAAGATCAACATCAAGAGAAAAGCATAAACATTTATTTGTTATAAGTTTTATGTGATTTGGGAGCTCTAATAATGAAATGAAGACCCAAAAATGCAGTTGGAATTGAACCCTTATGTATTGAATTAAACAAAGAGTAGTAAATTATGAAAATGAGAAAGCATGCAAAGGGACTTGGGTGAGGGTGTTGAGTGAAGAAATTGTTAGAAAGATAAGTTAGTGTAACAAGGTTGGTTTGTACAAATTTCTCTTAACCTCAACTTCCTGTCCTTGATGATAAGAATGATATTTTCCTTTTGGTCTTGAAGAAAAGGACATTTTTTACAAGAGAATTTCATCTCCTGATTTTTAAGAAACAGCATGAAGTTTAGAGTGATCTTCTTACACCTGCTGTTTTTCAAGTCCTTACCTCAAAATAGTCAATATGCCAGAGTAACGTATTTTGGGATGGCATATTCCTTACTCCTTCAGCACAAATGCATTCAGGAAAGGTCCACAAATGTTCATTGCAATTGCTATTTAAAAGCATTACATCTGCCATTGTCCTTCTAGATTTCTTTATATGAATGCATATCTTTTCATAAGAGCTTAATTCAAAAGGAAAAAAATGAATGGGCTACTAAGGAGATATATATTTCAGTTATGTGAAACACCCATGAGACTTCTGATTGCTTTTAGATTAATTCTAATTTTATGCTAAAATGAGCATTAGATTATCACTCACAAAACCAGAGTCTGAGTCCAAATTGCAGTATTAAATAACCGAGATTATGGAAATAATCATGTGAGGTCATAGGCCAATGCAATTCTGAGGTCTAGGATCCTTTTCCTGAGATTTCTGTGGCACTCTGTATCTCTATTATGCATTCCCTTTAGACCTTGGCTAGTTCAAGTGCATTTCACTTATTCACAGCTTTCATAGTTGAATTTCTCCAAATAGATAAATTATTTGAATATAATATTCACAATATATTGTCCCATATATAGTTACAGACAGATACACTAATAATAATACTACATGTAGAACAAATACATGCCATTCTATTAATGATGGTTAGAGACCAGATGAGAAGAAATCAAAGGCACATTGTATAATCAACATGGAAACCATACATGTATGACAAGCAATGTACACATTTTTAAAGTGAATTAAAAGAATGTGAAACATAGTTGGTGGATTATTTAATAATTCATTCTTCAAATTATTTTCAATTGAAGATGTGTCTTTTCAGTGATATAGAAAACTTCTAATGAATAATCATAATAAATGGCTGAAAAGAGTCCGTTTCAAAGTGTTGGGTGAAAAACTAATGGCAAACTCTTGACCTTTCCAATCGTGGTGTCATAAAGAAAGAGGAAATAATCGGAAACAGAGTTGTGCTGCACAGCTACACAATAGCTCTGTTGTGAGAGTGAACTATCCTTGGCTTGTAATTGGGCATGAGTCTCTGGAAAATGTCAAGACCTTTTAAATGTCAGAATTTTTTGGCTCTGGGCCCCTTCTGTCTATTCTGCATGGAACATTGTGACTAGATTGCAATAGATGGATAGTTGCTACTTTAAAAATGTCCTGAATTCTCCCTTATCATCATAGATAGCAATCAGTGTATGAAGAAAGATTAACAGATGTTCGAAAGTTCTGGAGAAGAGCTTAGTTGGAATTTTGGATTTCTATTAACCTCATAGTGGAAGTGTATTAAGGCCAAAACTCCGCACCAGACTTCAAGTAAATATTTGAACTTTATTAGATGTTTTAAGAGAATATAAGTAATTTTAAAGACACAATTCTTATTTGAAGTATATATATATTTTCTATATGTTTGATTCCCTTTGTTGGAAAATGGTAATAACTAAATTTTAACAAATGTAATTGCTTAAAAAAATCTTTGGTTTCCTGATTAAGTCTGTTAATCTCTCTCTCTCTTTCTTCCTTTTTTTCTAAATAAATCAAATTCATGTATATTCATGTAGCCGTTATGGAATGCTGACCCTTAGATTCAGATAATATAAATATTCTTTTTATATCTAAGATTTCTTAATAAGAGGATTTTCCTACAAGTGCTTATTGAAACATACATTTGTTTTAAGATGGAAATATTTCTATTTTTCTTTTAAAACTATTTAATATATTCTAATATTTCTCCAAAAATCAGTAACTTTTATGTAAGAGTCTCATCAACTATGTCTTGTATGAACTTAGTTTCTAGAACAAACATTGAATAAAATTTGAGACAAATTTAATGATTTTTCCAAATTTTACCTAGTTATAAAAAATATATGATGTTTAGTGGTAATGCTAAATAGGATTCCATTTTGGGTTTAGGTATAATGCATTGGAAAAAAAGGAAGAAGTGAAAAATTGCATAATGTAATTTTTGGATAAGCATCTGAAACAATTATTTTCCTTTCATAATCTTCCTTTGTATATTCACTTGCAGAAAAAATTTAACTGTATCTTAGCCAAGAATACAGGTGCAAATTGTGGAAAATTCAAGTTAGAAATACTTTTATTTTATTTTATTTTATTTATTTATTTTGAGACAGAGTCCCACTCTGTTGCCCAGGCTGGAGTGCAGTGGCATGATCTCGGCTCACTGCAACCTCTGCCTCCCGAGTTCAAGCGATTCTCCTGCCTCAGCCTCCTGAGTAGCTGGGATTACAGGCACGCACCACCACGCCCGGCTAATTTTTGTATTTTTAGTAAAGTTGGGGTTTCACCATGTTGGTCAGGCTGGTCTCAAACTCCCGACTTCAGGTGATCCACCCATCTCAGCATCCCAAAGTGCTGGGATTACAGGCATGAGCCACTGTGCCCAGTCCTTTTAATTTGTTTTATAAGAACATAATTTGATACCAAAGTATTTATCCTCAAGTATATGCCAAGGATTATTAGTGACTTTATATTTTTCTTCTAAGGACTGAGTTTATATACCTAATGCTAAATGACAAGTTAATGAGTGCAGCACACCAACATGGCACATGTATACAGATGTAACTAACCTGCACATTGTGCACATGTACCCTAAAACTTAAAGTATAATAATAATTAAAGGAAAAAAATAAATATGAACTAACATATAAAATGCTATTACATAAGTTATTTTACAAGGCAATATTTATACAAATATTACAAAATGGTATTACGTGAAACTTTCTGAACACAAAGCAAAAAATAATTCCTATCTCTCTGATGTATATTCCTTGTTTAAAAGGAAAACATCAATAGAGAGTATTAAGGTCCAAACAAAATTTTTTTTTTACATATGAATCTTTCTTCTAATATCATGGCTTTATACATAACTGATACAAATGACAATGAAATTAAAGCACCTAGATTGTTGTAACTGTCGCTTGTTGACTATGCTCTAAAAATTATTGTAAGACTGGAATAAATAAAGTGTATATAGATTTTATTGTTTGTAAAACACCAAATACATATTAGCTTTTAAAGGTTCTTTTTGTGTCTTCTTGCCTTCCCTTTATTTTTGTACTTTCCAAAAAGTTCAGTTAATTATACTTTTCTATTTGTAACTCACAACAAATTTACTCCACTTGTGAGCATAGATATACGGAGTAAATTTACATATATATATGGTGAAAGGCATGAATTCAGCTTTATTATGTTCCACACTGTATTAATTCCTCAATGACATCTATTAAAGTTATCCATATTTTTCTCCCTTTACCATATAATATTCTTATATATGTAGACAGAGAGGGAGAGGAAGATTTTTTTTTCTGTTTATTCTATTTCATCAATCTATTTGCTGTTTCTAATCTAGTTCCATGTTGTTTTGAGTACTAGGAATTTGTTGCAAGTACTAGAATGTATGCTGTCGTCTTATTATCTAACAAGGTGAGCCTTTCTTTTTCCTTTAATTTTGCTTTTATAAAAACTCATTTGTGTATTTTTGGACATTTTCAAAAGACTAATTATCTCTTCTAAAATATGTAATTTTGTTTCGTACTGGAAGTTTTAGAAAATAATTTTTTGTATTTAATCTCTAATATTACCTTTATATCTTAATGCTTTCTCTTAGATTTATGTATCTGCTAATTAGACTATATACTCCGAGAATATTTTTTAAATAATTGTAGAGTTCAATTTCAGCAGTTTTATCCATCTCAGAATATCTTGATTGTACTCTCACATTTAGAAAATTATTTTATCTGGCTAGGTGCAGTGACTCAAGCTTATAATCCTAGCACTTTGGGAGGACGAGGTGGGCGGATCACGAGGTCAGGAGTTCGAGACCAGTCTGGACAACATAGTGAAACCCTGTCTCTACTAAAAATACAAAAAATTAGCCGGGCATGGTGGCGGGCGCCTGTAATCCCAGCAACTTGGGAGGCTGAGGCAGGAGAATCGCGTGAACCCGGGAGGTGGAGGTTGCAGTGAGCAGAGATCGTGCTATTGCACTCCCACCCGAGTGACAATGCGAGACTCCATCTCAAAAAAATATATATATATATTTAACTTAAATAAAAGTTTATGTTCAAATTGTCTTTAATGTTTTGAACTTATTACTCCATTTTATTATTTATTCTAATTAATATATTTCAAATATTATGGCAATATATTTCTATTCTTCTCTTTTTGGAATACTTCAAATTACTTTTGATAATCCCTTGGTTTTATTTTCATTGTAAAGTGTCTAGGTACAGACTAGCTTCACGTATCTGGTTCATTCTCTATTAGTCTTTTTAATCGGAAATTCATTATTATTAATTGTTGCAAATCTGCAGTGTTGTTTTTTTTTAAAATTCTTCCCCTTATATTTGCTTTCTTCATATCTTAGGAATTCCAATGACATAGATGTTAATATGTTAATTTCTGTTTCTTTTCTCTTGTTTTATTTATTGCATATTTTTAAATCCTACTTTACCTTTCTGGTGCTTTTATTTATTTATATACACAGTTAGTTGGTTAGTTATTTTTGAGCGTTTCTCACCTTGTTATTGTAGGTTACTAAATTTTTCTTTATCTGTAACTACTTCTTTATTCATTTCACCTTCATAGCTTCACGTTCATTGTGACCTATAATTCCTATCTCTCTGACAATATTTGTTTATCTTAATTATCTGATCTTTCTTTGTTCTATGAATTATCATACTTATACAAGTTGAACAGCTATTTATTTGATTATATACCTAGTAATTATAATTATTGGTATATTTTCTGCCAATTTACTTCTATTCTTCTTAGACTATCAAGTACTTTGATTGGAAATGTATACTGGAGAGAAATTTCAAAGCTGTAGGACTAACTTTTGCCTTTACTGGTGTGTTTAAGTTTATGGGCATGTGTATGTGTTTTAATGTACGTGTGCACAGGGATTACATATAACAAAGAACCACCCCTACTGGCTGTTCTGTTTCCAAACATCAATCCTTCTACTTCCTATAGTAACTGCTTGAACTTCCACTACAGATGATGTTCTTTTCCAGGAGTTGTTATTTTTTAAAGTAAGGTTCTTTAGCATTGGTGTGTATGAGTGTGTGTGTGTCTGTGTTTGTGGGAATGAGGAGGTGGTTAGCATCACCCATTATTATCTGCTCATCTCTCCAGTGAGCCTCTGGTTTCTTGGTGTTGTCCTGCTTAGCATGGTGGGGCACAGAAACAGACTACCTATAATGCTTTATCCAAACCATTTTCTTTACTGTGACATTTGGGTACCTGTGATGGTTAATATTGAGTGTCAACTTGATTGGATTGAAGGATGCAAGATATTGTTCCCGGGTGTGTCGGTGAGGGTGTTGCGAAAGGAGATTAACATTTGAGTTGGTGGACAGGGAGAGGCATACCCACCCTCAATCTGGGTGGGCGGCATTTAGTCACCTGCCATCGTGTCTAGGGTAAAAGCAGCAGAGGAATGTGAAGGACTAGACGGGGTGAGTCTTCAGGCCTCCATCTTTCTCCCGTGCTGGATGCTTCCTTCCCTCAAACATTGGACTCCAAGTTCTTCAGCTTTTGGACTCTTGGACTTATACCAGTGGTTTGCCAGGGGCTCTCGGGCCTTGGGCTACAGACTAAAGGCTGCACTGTCCGCTTCTGTACTTTTGAGCTTCTGGAACTCGAATTGGCTTCCTTGCTCTTCAACTTGCAGATGGTCTATTGCGGCACTTCACCTAGTGATCGTGTGAGTCAGTACTCCTTAATAAACTCCCTTACATTGATACATATCTATGTTATTAGTCCTGTCCCTCTAGAGAACCATGACTAATACAGTACCTGTCCTGGTCTGTACTTTTCTTCCCTCGCCAAATCACAGATGAATTTTTTTCTCCTCAGGAGATTTTTATAATTTTTAATGTAGGTTGTTACTTTCTCCAAATCCATTCACTTCTCTCTCATTTTGCTGACTTCTTCAGTGCTCTGATGTGAGAGGAAGATAGAAGCCCATACTAGCAATTAATTCTTTCAAAAATGTTTTTCTAGGCCAGGCACAGTGGCTCATGCCTGTAATCCCAGCACTTTGGGAGGCTGAGGTGGGTGGATCACCTGAGGTCGAGAGTTCGAGACCAGCCTGGTCAACATGGTGAAACCCTGTCTCTACTAAAAATACAAAATTATCCGGGCGTGGTGATGCATGCCTGTAATCCTATCTACTTGGGAGACTGAGGCAGGAGAATCACTTGAACCCGGGAGGCGGAGTTCACGGTGAGTCAAGATCGCACCATTGCACTCCAGACTGGGCAATAAGAGTGAAACTCCATCTCAAAAATAAATAAATAAATAAATAAATAAATAAATAAATAAATAAATAAAATGTTTTTAAAATTACTTTAAAAATTGGTTTCTTCCATGTGAAATGTTGGCATCGAAAGGGCGGAAACTGTATTTGATTGATTCAATCAATATCCACTTAGTATGCCATGTGGAATTGGTGACACTTTCATGAAATAAATAAATTGATGCATAAATGTGTGATGGAGTGAAATAATATAAAGTTTTAACCATAGAAAACGTATAGAAAAAGTATGATATCTGAATACAAATTCCATGTCTCACCAATGAAATACATTTATTTCTGCATTATGATCATATATGGGTACAGATGAGAATTACACAGGACTTCTCAATTCTTATGGAAAAATAGTGTCTTTATGTGACTAGCTTCTCTGAATTCTGCTTAGTCTCAGGTTCTTGGTTCTTAAATAGATTCTTTCTCTCTCTTTTCATTGTACTTAAAGTCAAAATGAATGCTATTCATGATCATATGTTGCTTTTGAGTCAGATACGTTTACAATCTCTTATATTGTTGAAATTAGGCTATTTCTGAAGCCTGATGCCTTCTTTTGTCTATACTAAAGTATAATTTAAGCTGTTTCCTCTCTTATGACTTCTCTTTTTTCTCATCTAGTGCCTGCTTGGTTTCCTAGAATATCTTCTCCATAAGACATGAGATTCAAGCCTGGGATATTGTAGTGAAGAAGAGAGAAAGAGAATGGCAACACCTGAGTTCCAGGAGTCAGCCTGCTAGTAGTAACAGCTAAGTCTTGGTGTTGCTATGGGGTGGTCTGGCTCTTCAACTAGGCTTTGATATTCTTCTATTGGACATAAACAATCTCAGAAAACGTTAATATCAGACAAGGCTATTCTGTCACCATGATAGACCAAGACTAAGGCAAGACCACTTCATAATAATTCCTGTACAAAGGCAAAATATGAACATTGTCCACATCAAATAAGTGACTAAACATTTCTTTAAACCAGTTAATACGAGTGAATGCTATTTCCTTATGAAACAGTGTTAGACTTGCTCTCATCTATCTCCCTTCTAGATTAAACTCAGTCATAGAATTGTCTAAACTTTATGATAGCATCCAATCCAGAGTAAGCCCACTTCTTTCAATCCTCCCGAAAATCACTAAAGCAAAGTTCAGATAGAGTAAGTCATTTCTAAAACCCATTTACAGAGATGCTCCACAATTCCCCATGATGTGCATTGTCCTTTGCTACGATGGGAAATTAACTCAACTTGTTCAAATACAGGTGTGTTCTTTTTTCTCCTTAGTAGAGGGCATTGAATACAAGAGAGAGAGAAGAGAACACAAAGCAGTTTCAGAAAAACACCCAAAATAAATCACAAGAAGTATACCCAAAATACTTGAAACTTTTCTTGTGTTCCACCAAAATCTCTAAATCCCAGAGTATATCCTTGAATTTCAATTCCATCATGTTAGAATTTATTTTCAAAGATGGAGGATAGAGTAAATGGTCAATGCTTCTCTGGTGCAGAGAGGGGTCTTCTTAAATATACCCCTAACTTTATGTCCCATTGAAAAAAGTAATAAAAGTAAATTAATTAAGAGAATATTGACCTCTGAAAAAATTGCTTGCTCCTTCTTACAGATATTTATGTCAGAGCACAGGGAATAGTATTTTATCACCTTCCTGACTTTTTATTCCCATTGCATAAATCTGTCAGTGAGCAAGCTCTATCCCCAGCTGGGCTGGTCTAGCTACAAAATAAGACAGGCAGATACCAATGCAAAACTGTGGTTTATTTTTGAAAAACTTTTACCTCTGCTTTCATTTTGGCTTTTAATAAGTTTGACAATTCTCAGCATTTTTTTTTTTTGCTTTTTTGTCCAAATTTCCTGCCTGATGGGGAAGTCTGAGGATGATTAATGTTCAAGAAAGTTGTGAGGAAATGTGCCACCCAAGTTTAATGCATTATTATTTTACTAAATCACAATTTTCTTGGTGTCCATATCAGTAGCCTAACCTTATGCAGTAATAACTGATTCAGACTTCATTTATAAAACGGAAGGGAAAAATGCAAGAATAAAAAGGAAGAGAATTCACAGCAGAGCAAAGAGAAATTACTGCCATATGAACTCTAACACTGTAGCATTCTTTCACGGTCTGGTACTTTTTAATCTTGAGTCATAGATGGAAAAATAAAGGAAAAAAATTGAGGCACAACCATTCTACAGTAGGCAAGGCAATTGAGATTGCTTGGATTCATTACTCTGAACTCCAGCAAACAGCTACAGAATGCCTAGAATTCCCCAGACATGACTATTACAGCTCTCTGTGGTGGCTCAACAGACTTCGTTTTCAGATAGGTTATTTGGAGCACCAATTTTCTTTCTAAAAATCTTTGTTTTGGCCTTGATTTGGAAATAACCTATGACCGTAGTATTTATTTTTCTGCTTAAGAATTCATAGAGAATTTTGGTTTGGGCAGCATGACAACTTTTACTTAATAAAAATATGAGAAAAATATATAGTTATATAGGCTGATTCCTTTTCACAATAACTCTACTGAGCTCATATAATTCAATCTAGTTTATTTGTTTTTGTTTTCATTTTTCTTTATGTCTCTGACTGAGGCCCAGTGGGCACACTCAATTTGGAAGGGTTTTAGAAAACATGGCTGAAAAATGATGAATTACGTATGTATTAAATTGATGTTCACAATTTCCTGTAAGTATAATCTCTTTTCATGAAAGTGATGACTCTTTCATAATAGCTGAACTTTATAAACACACGCACACACAAACTAAATTAAATTAAATTAAATATGTCCAGGTAATATTTCTAAATATATATAGAAAGTTAATCTAAATTCTAAATACCTTGTTGATGTATGCAGTATTTTAAAGTCATTTGGGGGATAACAATTCTGGCATTGTCCTATAGCAACAATAAAGAGAGGCAGTTTAAAAACAGCAATGTAAAGAAGGATTTCAAGCCAACATTAATGGTGTGATTTAGTCAAGCCCTTTTTATTGTGGAATTTTATAAACCATTCAAAATTATACTTATAGCTAACATTTCAATATATTAAAAATGCTCACAATAAAAATTAATTTCTAAAAAGGCAAATGAATGGAGGATGCATATGCAATATGTCCTTAACTATAAATATGTTGAAAGATGAGAGATCATGTGGCTGATAGGCCAGTTGATACATAATAAAAAGAATAAATATAAAGAGACAAAGAGAGAAAAAAAGGAATAAGAAAGGAAGAACATAAAGGAAGAAGGAAGAGAGGGAGAGAGGAAGAAAGCAATAGACGGAGGAAAGGAAAAGGTAGGAGGAAAAAAGACAAAGCTAGCAGGAAACCAATATATATATAATAAATATTAATGTTAAGAATATATTAATTAATGGAAGTGTTAATGATCTGTGAGTGGTCTGCCCAGATGTGATTCTTACTATACTATTACATAGCCCAAATTTTCTTAATTGGACATACATTTTCTGTAGCCAGAAAATTAAAATATTAATTTCAGAAAAAAATTGTTATTTCTATCCTCTAAATGCATGCCCCAATGAATAATAGTCAAATATTAAAATTACACACACAAAAGTTGTGAAATAGAAGACTATATATATTTTTTCATTAACATAAACAGAAAAATTCCTACTAGCTCTTCACATCAGGATTTGTATGACCCATTAACGTGTTCAAATGCAACATTGCTCATTAAAGGAAGAGTTCTTACAACTCAATTCAAGGTAATTATTATTTTTATTTTCTTTGTACTAATGTCATTTTGAATAAAATATATTCATCATTAAAACTTTTATGAGCTCCTACAAGTGCAAAAGAAAAGAATTTTGATTGATGTTTCTGACTGTTGAATGTTAACCTCTATCCTAAAGATTGCTCACACATAATGGAAAAGTTAATTCCCACTACAGTGGTAATATTCATTGTACAGATGAGGGGACAAACATTATGGTATACACTAACTTCTAGCCTGACATGGTATTTCCATTAATCTGAATCTATCATTAGTCTTTACTTTGGAACCTAAGCAAAACTGCATCAACACTTACAGGTGGATCATAAAGACAATTGTGAAAATCAGTACCTGGATTTTCAAAAATGTTTAATTGATACTTTCAATATTCTTTTTTGAGATATTTTTCCTCTTCCAGGCAATAAGGCCCCAGCAACTGACCTCACAGGAATAGTCCCTTGCTTCCTAGCTTGGCAGCACCCCACACTGTTGGTCTTGCAACAGGTATGCAGATACACACAAAATGAAAAAAAAGCACAAGACAGAGTGAATGGATGTATTTAGGTCCTGGTTACTTGACTATAATTTGTGAGATAAAGTATTTCTAAAGAGTATTTTCCACAATTCATCCAAGTCTCTGTTTCAGCATCCTAATTCAATATTTGTACTTATTAACCTACAGACTTGGATAACAAAAAACTCATTTAAAAATAGAAAAGTAGCTCATAATTTTAAAGAATATAGAGAAGGCACAATGAAAATGAAAATATATAATATCTTCACTAGCCAGGGATAACTGTTATTCCTCCAGCCAGAGATAACTTTTATTATATTTTTAGATAATTATACATCCTTACAATTTTCTATGTCTTAGTTTTATATAAATATGTGTTTTATATCACAAAAGTTTAAATCTTTAATATTTAAAGAGGTTTAAAACACTGGTGTTTTCTGCAAACAAATTATGTCATAAAATAATTTTCATAGTAAAATGCATGCTATTTTAATTAACTTTGTAATGTTACCTTAGATGTATAAAAATGTATTTAAACAAATCCCTTCTTATTTAAATTTAGCTTACTCTTGGATTTTCCAGTTTATTTACCACATACTTATTAATATGTACTATAGTTATTTAATAATGTATTTACTATTATAATTAGCATTGACACTGAGACATGTTTTTTCACAAATATTTAGTGTTTTACAGTTCAATTTTTATAACATATAATTAGTGAATTGTACGATGTAGATATTGAATTTTTGAAATTATTTTGTATGAATAGTTTTACATATTTATGATACTAATCTCATGTTTTAAATTTGTTGCAAATGGTTTTCCTGATGTTTGTCTCCTCTTAAAGACTATGGTCTTTCTTCATATAGACTTTAAAAAAAATGTTATGTACTCAACTGACTTCTTTATTAAATATATTGTTTCCTAGCTTATGATTATATAGATATTTACCTATATGGACTTCTGATGATATATATATATATTTACATATTATGATATATTGAATATTTAATACAGCTGAGTTTTGCTTTGGCATTAAGTATAGGATTAACCTCTATCCTTTACCCACTAAAAAGAAATGTTATCTTTATATTATATGTTTCAATATAAATTCCTAAATTTAAACTTAATGTGATTATTCTATATATATAACTTGACAGTAGTGTCCATTTATTTGATTAAAATAAAATTTTAACCTCATTTATTACATAATAAATTAAGACTTTCCATCACATTTTCTTACACAAATCTTTATATTTCTAGATAAACTTAAAAATCATTATTTTCCAATTCTAAAAATCTAATAAAATGTTCATTATAAATCTAACAAATAGGCTAACATTAGAAGTAATGCATCTTTGAAAATATTAATGCAAGCTATCCCATTGCATGTATTTAAATTATCTTGTTTAATAGTTAGATTCCTGTTCTCTTTACATAGAGCATATTTAGATGTGATTAAGTTTCGTATGATTTTGAGCAACGTTTTCTAAAGAGATTTTTTCATCATCTTATATATGTCTTGTTTTGGAAAGTTGCATTAAATTTGCAACTGGCTAATTTATTTTCTTTTTTGAGCTGATTAGGCAATTGTATTAACATTGAAATGTTTTTCCTGTTTTTGATTTTTTAAATTATTTTGTTTTCTTGTGTTATTGATTTAGAATGAGAGCTCACGTCTTGTCTTGTTCTTGATTTTTAATACAAATGATTTGATCAATGGAAGATATAAACATTAACCATGACTACTGCTTTTGGCTTGATATAAGTTTTATTTTATTATGTTGGAGAAATAGTCTGTTCTGGTTTTATTGTTTTGCCAGGAATGAATGTAGAATTTGATCAAATCTATCTTTAGCTTATTTCAATATAATTTGCAGCTAATGAATTCTCTAATTGGATCATCCTTGAATTTTAGGGATAAATACTAGTTCTTCCTGTTATATTTATTTTTTTGCATGCTACTTAATTTAATTCAAAATATACAGAGTTAATATGCTTTTATTTTAATGCCATCCTCTGCAAGTTAGTAAGAAATATGCTGAGTTCAAAAATGCAATGGCAAATCCTTTTGGCTGATCCATGTGCTGAAGCAATTCTAATCATGTAAACTTAATCTACTGCCTAAAAATTCTACAGAAATCTCTTATAAAACAGTTTTAACTCAGTATCATTATAGGTGTATTGGAAGATGGTTTGCTGTTGTGTTGGTTGTTTTTCTCATATAGTTAGTGAAATACTTAAATTGTATTTCTCTAATTAATTCGGCTTTGATCAATTGTATTTTCTCACAATATCGTATAATTTCCTATGAGTTTTAATATGTATTATTATTTGATATAATCTCCTATTGTTTGTAAAATATATTTGATCTATACAGTTATATCATATTAATAATTCACACTGGCAATTGTTTGTGATTATATTTTAATTTATTCTTGATTACTTTGTAAGAAATATCTCTAATATTTTCAGTGTTTAAAAGACTTGCTTTCCAGATTTGTCATTTGTCATTTCTTTTTCCTAAATTGCTCATGTTGTCTTTATTGTTGCAATTATTCTATATTATTTTTGTTTTTTTGCTATGCATTCTCTTGTTTACTTAGTTGGATGTTGGATTTGAAGAATTTATTCTCTTTTGATATTAAAAAATTTAGGATTATGATTTTCTTTACAGGTATATTTTTGCCACATCCCATAATTTTGTTTGCACTGCTATTTTTTTACTTGATTTTATTTTTGACTCATGACTTGCCTTTTTTATCCTTTTTCTTTTATTTAAAAAATTTGGTTTGTTTCTATTGCTTTCCTTTTATATTCATCATTGTTCTTTTTTTAACTTTTATTTTAAGTTCAGGGGCACATGTGCAGGTTTATTACATATGTAAACTTGTGTCATGGGGGTTGTACAGATTATTTCATCACCCAGATATTAAGTTTAGTACACAGTAGTTGTTTTTCCTGATCCTCTCTTTCCTCCCAGTCTTTCCCTCCAAAGGTCCCAGTTTGTTTTTCCCCTCTATGTGTCCATGTGTTCTCATTATTTAGCTCCCACCTATAAGTGAGAACATCCGGTATCTAGTTTTCTGTTCCTGTGTTAGTTTGCTAAGGATAATGGCCTCCATGTGAAAAAAAAATGTCAACATCACTATTAGAGAAATGCAAATCAAAACTACAGTGAGATACCATCTCACACCAGTCAGAATGGCTATTATTATAAAGTCAATAAATAACAGATGCTGGCAAGGTTGTAGAGGAAAAGGAATATGTGTACACTGTTGGTGGGAGTGTAAATGAGTTCAATCATTGTGGAAGACAGTGTGGCGATTCCTTAAAGACCTAAAGACAGAAATACCATTGGACCCAGCAATCCCACTACTTGGAATATACCCAAAGGAATATAAATCATTCTATTATAAAGACACATGCATGTTCATTGCAACATTATTCACAATAGCAAAAGATGTGGAATCAACCTACAAACCCATCAATGATAGACTGGATAAACAAAATGTGGTACATATACACCATGGAATACTATGCAGCCATGAAAAAGAGTGAGATCATGTCCTTTTCAGAGACATGGATAGAGCTGGAGGCCATTGTTCTTTTTTATGTCATGATATTTTGTTGTCTTAATAGTATTACTGAAAACTGTGAGCTCTTGAATTAATTTGTGGGAAATGAATCACATGTTAAGTACTCAAGTATATCTGAAATCTATTTATTAATGTTACTATCATTTAGATTATTTACTACTACTCAATGTGAAGAAAATGAGGATAAAGACCTTTATGATGATGCATTTCCACTTAATGAATAGTACATTTATTTTCTCTCCTTTATGATTTTTCTTGATATAATTTTTCTAGCTTACTTTATTGTAGGAATATAGTATATAATAAATATAATATACAAAGTATGTTTTATTCAATGGTTTATGTTATTGTTAAGGCCTCCAGTCAACAGTAGGCTGTTACTAGTTAAGTTTTGGGGGAGTCAAAAGTTACTGTTGAATTTTTAACTGTGCAAGAAAGACATGAGTACCCCTAAACTCCATGTCAATTAAGGGTCCACTGTGTCCATAATACTTTATACTCTTCTTTAAAATACAGTGGTTCTTTTTGGCTCAGTTAACATCTTTTGCTTTAAATTCTATGTTTCTGATGCCAATTTTTCCTTTACCTCATTTTTATTTTCAGTTGATTGGCATATCTTTGATATAATTTTAGTACGTTCTTTTCCAAAATACTTTTTTTTTTTTTGTTTGAGACAGAGTCTCACTCTGTAGCCCAGACTGGAGTCCAGTGGCCTGATCTCGGCTCACTGCAACCTCCGTCTTCCAGGCTCAAGCGACTCTTGTGCCTCAGCCTTCTGAAGAGCTGAGATTACAGGCACACACCAACACACCTGGCTTTTTTTATCTACAACTTTTCAGTTGGTTGGGCAGGATGGCATATACCTGTAGTCCCAGCTACTTGGGAGGCTGAGGCAGGAGGAACACTTGAGCCCAGGAACCTGAGTTAGAGTGAGCTATGATCATACCACTATACTCCAGCCTGAGTGACAGAGTGATACCCAATCTCAAACAAACACAAACCACAAAATGTGCAATACCAGGAGTGAACCCTAATGTAAACTGTGGACTTGGTTGATAATGATGTGACAATGATGGCTTATCAATTGGTAACAGATATACCACACTGGTACATTGATGTTGCCAAAGCCTGTATATGCAGGCATGGAAAGGGTACGTGGGAATTCTGTATTTCCTACTCAATTTTGCTATGACCTTGAATTTTTATAAAAAATAAATACTTGACAATACTAACAAAAAGAAAAGAATATTTATTAAGCCAAAAACAATGGAAAACCAAAGCTAACAAAGTCCATGTTAAGGAAAAAACAATATAGAAGAAATAAATTAAGGACAATTATTAATACATCATTTATGAATAGGCTGAATATTCCAAGACAATGACTGCATTAGTGGTTAGGAATTAATTCCAACTATATGTCTTTATAAGAAAAAACAACAAAAATCTAAAAGAAAGAGGTAAAAATGGTCAAAGTAATGAATAGAGATTTCAGAAACTGGGGAAAAAACATAAATGGCAATATTAATAGCAGAAAAAGTGACATTTAAGGTCAAAAGCATTAAGTGGGAAAGTGGGACCCAGATTGACACTATGTAATAAAAAAAGGTATAATTTAGAAAAAAGATGTAAGAGTCATAAATCATTTTATATAGAACAACAGCAGTGGCACATAAAAAAGAAATATTCCTAGAAATACACTGAAGACCTGACAAAAACATAATTATAACTGGTGACTTTTAAATATGTCTTTCAGAACTTGACATAGTTAAAATAGAAGTAAAAATAGTGAGTATATCAATGAAAAAATCAACCTTAGCCCTTTGGAGCCCATTTCTTTTGAATATACCAAATGTGACCCTTTCCTGGAGCTTTTGGCAACCAATTCCCTCATTGCTCTCCCTAATTTACCAATTTTTTAATATGTAGATCACTCTGATTTTCCTTATTATAAATTTTATCATTAATAATGTTTATATCTATTATGATTCATACTGTGTATCCTGAATATCTGAGATAGGTCTCAGTTAATTTAGAAAGTTTATTTTGCCAAGGTCAAGGATGCATACCCATGACAAAGTCTCAGAAGGTTCTGATGATATGCCCCAGGTGGTCAGAGCACAACCCAAGGAAAACCAAACATCGTTTCATATTTGAAAATGTTTCCTATATAATTTTATACCAAATAAGCCAAATTATGTCATTTTTGTACTTTAGGGAACCTAATATCTTAAAGAATTAATTAGGTAAGAAAAATACATAATTTATAATTTAATTTTGGAAAGTTTGTCAAATATCAGAGGTTTAAAACACTTGATATCACAGGTCATTGTCAAATAAGTCATTCCTTTGACCATAGTGATAACTGAGGATTTCCAAAAAAAAAAAAAAAAAAAGGCCTTCATTCTTTGAGAGAGGAGACTTAATTTTCCAAACAGTAAGCCTTGAAAAAAGAAGCCAAGTAAATTTGTTTTTCAAAATTGTATAAAAAATCTATAAAATTTTCATCTTGACCATAATATATAAGTTTCATAAGCCTTTTATAACCTTTATAACCTTTATTAAGGAGTCAGTTAGTGCTTCAAGAAAACCTTGTTAATCTGACACAGGGGCCCATATGCTGGTCTTGCATGAGTATGCCTTTGACATAATGATTAATTTATAGGGAAATTGAACTTATTATATCTCTCAAAATTCACTGTCACAATCTCACACACCCACCTCTTCCATGATAGTCTCTGGATCTTGAGGAATTGCATAGCTTTAATTTCTGGCCCTGTATCTTAAGAATGCAGTTTACTCTGATTGGTGTCTTCCACTGGACCTGATGATAAGTGTTTAATTGTTGTCAGTGTTTAAGATTTAGCAGAATTTGGTGCCCTTTTTAAGATCCAAGAGTCAAAGCCCCATAAGTCAATGTCACAAGTACTTTAAAAGCACATACAGAATGATACACGAATGTGATAACCTTAATTTAAGAATTTTTTTAATCTTAGTTTTTTTCCTAAGGGAACCAAAACATAATAATAATGGAATAGGAATTGTTTTGATATATCTTATAATCTGTTAGGCCAGTTGCCAAAAGGCAAAAGAAAAGACCTTCTGCAATGCACAGACTATTAGGTTGGAAGAAAAAATTTCCTTTAATCCTTTAAGAAACCATCATTAGCATTAGGCCACAATGAGCAGAACTCAAGGAAAAAAACTTATATGAGCTGAAAATTAGTTGAAGGACAGCGTTGCTATTTCACACCCTTTAAAATGAGAGAGAAAACCAAAAATGGTGAGATGAAAGAAAAGTTAAACTTTGAGTTTAAAAAATTAAAATCTTTCATAATTTATTAAGAACAAATCAATCTCTTAAGAAATTTTTTTGTTCTAACCAACTATTTAGTAATAAGTGTTTTTTTTACATTCACCTCAATCTCTAGAAAGATCATTATAATTTTCCTTTAATTATCAACAACTTGATTATATGAAAGTTTTATTTTTTTAATAAAGCCTCTTATTGTTACACAGACCATTCATGATACACTTGGACTTCCTGGTTTGTCCTGAACATTCTTCTTTCTTAAACAACCAGTCATTTTATTACAAGACTAAATTTACCATAAAAGATTCTTTCTCATAAAAAATTATTTCTCTTTAAGCTTACTTACCAAAAAAATCCTCTTTATTCATATAACTTTCTTTACTTCTTTCTTATTTCCTGTTTCCTTTTACCTTGTTTTAAACATAACCTTTAAATAAGCCTTGAATTAAACAAAAACACACATTTTCTGACAAATAGATTTTATTAAAAAATACTCAAATAGTGAAATATCTACTATTTAATTTAATATAACTTTAGTTTCTAAATCATGAATTTGTCTATAAGTATTTATCTCATTACATTTACATAATTTTTTATTGTAATTTTTTACATAGATTATTTATAAAAAATTAGAGTCAGCATCTAAAGTTATGAAACTGCTATTGCAAAATTATAAGCGACAGTAAAAAAGATCTGACTTAACTGACTTCATCTTGAATTTAACCTCCAAGCTGACCTTGTTCATTCCTGGCATAGGCCAAACTAACTTTGGGAGGAACTTGGTTTATAGTTTAGATTTGAACAAAGATAATAGCAGCCCTTTCCCACAGCAAATCTTACTGCCTGTGGACTAGACTGCCTAAAGCCACATTAGAAGTTATGGTAATTTTACTAAATTTAAGATGTAGCTATTTTCATTAAACCAATATCAAGATCTTACTAATTAAAAATTACACAAGCAAACATCATTCTGTTTTGGGCTTGGTTTATAGTTTTGCAACCCCTATGCCAAATTTTGATGCCAACAAAAATGTATACTGGCAATTCTGAAGATGTTTCTAATATTATTATACTTCACCAATAATTTTAAAGTTAGCTTATCTATTAAAGATTTCACTTAAGTTATGTACACTTGAAAAAGCATTTGACTAGTCTTTTCTTTTTTTTCTGATAAAGTATTTGATTCAAGCACTTTTATTTTATTAAGTTGATTAATTAGAATTACTTTATATATTTTTATTAATGAAACATTGTGTGCATAACACATAAATACATAGATATATTTGGCATGCTGGTAAAAGTACATCTTATAAATTCATAAAAACCTTCTTTTTTCCATCTTAGGCTTCAAATTCTTCATAACGTGTTTCAATAGGTAACCTGTATCAATTCTTGGTAACCCTAGGCAGTTGTCAGCCAAATAGCCTTAAATTTGCATGCTAAAAGAAAGAACTCAGGTGAAAATCAAATAGCAAAATTTACATCATAAGATATGGTGAGAGAAAGTCTGGTGTGCTGAAGAGAAATTAAAACTGACTTAATTGCCAATTAAACATGAAATTATAGAAATTATAAAGGCCTTCTAAATAAACACACACACACACACACACACACACACACACACACAAAGATTCTATAGCTCTTACTTTAGAGATGTAGGCATGAGATAAATACAAATTCACCAGCTTGCAAATAAATAACCTGTTGGATACAAACAGTGGTTTTTATCTTAATAGAAAAATAACAGCAGATTTAAAGCAGGCAGAAAAGAAAATAGAGCAAAAAGAGAACTTAGAAACTCTATCATTTGCAGAGTGACCTTAGGGTTCTTTTTTCTTAATGTAACTGTGCATAAAGACCATATTATTTCCATTTCACATAAACTCTGGCAAGTAGAGGTGCCATAAAACCTACAGAGTGCTTGCAAGGGGGTCACTCTTCTTTTTTTCTCCTCATTCATAGATTATTTGTTTCCCACTTTTTTTTTTCTTAAAAGGAGGAATTGAGCTGTGGCCTAGGGTGTTTGTGTGGTGGACTGATGTGTGCTGCTTGTGAGCAGGACTCCACAGTGTATCACCACTACGTCATTTCCATCCTCTTAGGTGTCTCAATTTCTCTCTCCAGAGGTCTATGACCTCTGAGAGGGCTCAAAACACTGAGTGATCAGCCCTTACATGCGTTTCCTGGACGATCCTGTTTTTAAAAAGTTAATTTTTGTTGGGAATTTCCCTGCAGGACCACTGGATGTTGAGTGGGGTCAGGCCCCCTGGACCCTCCCATGAGGCCCTCAGTCACCCAGGGGTGCCTTTTTGGCAGGGAGGAGCAAAACGTCCTTTTTTTCAAAGCTGAGGAAACTCAGCCTCTCATTTACCTATGAAAACAAGAGTTTGGTTCCTCATGCAAATGTGCACAGACAAGCCAAATTTTGGGAGAAAAAGCAAGCAGAGAAGACCCTTCAGAATGCATCTTCGAACTAGAATTAGGATCCTTAAACAACAACTTTCCAGGAGGAAAAGAAACAGCAGGCAAGACCACTATCTATAAACTGTTCTCAGCCACCCCTACTTTATAGCTCTTGTCAGCCACTACACACACCAAAGTCAAATTCTCTCACAGTACAAGGTAGTCTTTGGTATCCCCAAAGCCAAAGAGGTCAGATCATGCAATACAGAAAAACAGCTTTACATCTAAGCAGAATCTACCCATGACTTCTGAAACTCCAGAAAGAAAACAGAACACCTCCAAAGGGGTGAGTGGCACCTTTGTTCTGAATTCCTTAAAGGGGTGCAAGTCATTAGAAGCCTTCTCTAGATTTTTGGTACTACAGATGGCAAGAGGGGGAAGGAGGTGGAAGAAAAGTAAATGAAAAAACTTTTTTTTTTTTTTAAGACAGAAAGCAAACACAGAAACAAACTGGATTTTTGAGGGGTTTTGGTTGTTTTTTGTTTTTTTTTTTCCTCTTTTGGAGCTGTGAGGAATTTTAGCAAAATTAGAGAGGCTTTGTTATTCATAATTCTGAGTTCTCTCTCAGATTTGACCAAGTCAGGAAGAGTTGGTCAAATCTGAAGAGAGAAAGACCAGAACAAACAACAACAAAAAACCAACAATATAATCACTGAGCACTCTAATGGTGAGGAGAAATTAAGACCAGCTGGTTGTTAACTTTAGCCAAGACAAAACCCCAATTCACCTGCTTACCAAGGGATAGGTCTCAGGCTGAAGATTATCCTTTACCATCCTGGAAAGAGGAAAAATAACTCAAACTTATCCTCCCCTCTGGGAGCAAACTCAAACTCCAGTTACTTGCCAGATTACCATAGAAACAGGAAATCTTATCTTCCTTGTTGGAAGCAAGTAAAACTTTAAAAATAAAGAGAGTTGTACAGCAAAATAAACTTTATTTTGGGAGATCAGGGAGTCTCTGGAAGGGTGCTCCCAGACCTTAGCAAATTGTCCTATTTGTTTGAGCCATAAAGTTAGCTCGTGCTGGTACCCAGCACTGATAGGAAATTTGTCAAAGGTCAGAGGTACATCCACTCAGAATCTCCTTGTTGTTACCAAAATGTGAACCTTCAGTGTCTGAGGCAGGTCTCAGTTAACTGAGAAAGTTTATTTAGCTTGAGGATGGGCACCCAAGACACAGCCTCAGAATGTTCTGACTACATGTGTCCCAGGTGGTCAGAGCACAGTTTAGTTTTATACATTTTATGGATACATGAGATATCAATCAACATATGTAAGATGAACATTATTTTGGTCCAGAAACGTGGGACAACTTGAAGCAGAAAGGAGCTTCCAGGTTATAGGAAGATAAGAGACAAATGGTTGCATTCCTTTGGGTTTCTGATTAGCCTCCCCAAAGGCGACAATCAGATATGCATTTACCTCAGTGAGCATAGAGGTGACTTTGAATAGAATCGGAGGCAGGTTTGCCCTGAGATGTTCCCAGGTTGACTTTTCCATTTATCTTAGTGATTTGGGAGCCCCAAGATATTTTTTCTTTCACAATATAGTCTAAAATTCTGATTTTGTTGATCATTCTGTATTCATAGATAATGCCCTCCACTTCATCTTGTGTGTCTATTCCTGTACATACTGTACCTCATCATCACCAGAAATTTTACTGCCCTCATTATCTGGATTTGGAGTATCCCACTCTCTAACAACACCTCTACTTTCTTTTCAGTTTTTTTTTTTTCCTAGCATACCAACTATGAAACTCCTTTACACTGTGAAGGTTCTCGAATCCAGTAATATCAAAACTTTTTCTTGTTCATCATTTATTTCCTAATCTTCTATTCATGCAAGTTAGAATGCTTGAAGGAAATTATAGTCACTCTCCTGCATATAATCTCAAATTTTTCCACCTGCAGTCTTACTTACTTGGGAAAATTTCACTATTTGTAATAAAACTCATAACTTTCACCCCTGCCTACCAACCCCTAAAGCAGCTAAACAGGAATGCAGAAAACAAATATCTTATAATGGTACTATGCCTGTGAATTGTTCTAATTATTTTATATATGTGAATTCATTTAGTCCTATCAACTAACCTATAAAATATTTATAATTATTATCCAGATCCATCTCAATTAAGAATGTAAATGCAAATGTACAAAATAAAATACTTGCACTAACAAGGGTATCAAATACATTTTTTGTAAGTGGAGTACTTATTTCAGAGGAGGAAACATTGGTTTCCACCTCACTTCAAGTTTCTTTGGTTGGACTATAAATTAAATTAACATAAACAGATTAACAAGAGAAAAACCATATTTAATTGCATGGGGTTCCACAAAATATGAGACTTAAAGAAAGGTCAGATGATTGAAGCTGATACAGCATCTTGAGCTACAGAGGGGAATAGTGACTTAGGGCTTTTGTTGGGTGATGGAAACAAGTTTTTGGAGGGTGATGGAAGAAAAGAAAGAAAGAAAAGAAAAAAAAGAAGAAGAAAAGAAAAAAAAGAAATGTATGGAGAATAAATGTTGTTTTGTTATGCAGGTAAAAAGTATGTCAGGCAATAAAAGTTCACTGGTAGCAGCCCTATTCCTGAGACAAACATTTTACTAATGTAGATTATCTTCACAGATATATAAATTTCTGTTTCAAAAGGGCAATTTTGAGAGATACTCCTGTGTCTTCAGTTTCTAAGACTAATTGGATCAAAATATATCAAGTAAGTATATTTTGGAGTAGCAGAGCTGGTCTGCTACAATCATACCAAAGTATGTGTATTGAGGGTGATGTGTACTGAGCCTCAACATTGTCATGCGCTTTAATAATAATGACGGTGTGATTATATATGGATACTATTTTGCATATTAATTTATAACAATACTTTATGATGGATATGATTTATATCCTAGTCAATTGCTATTAATATACCTTATGAAAAATAGCATTTATTTCAGGAATGCAAGGTAGTAACATCAGGTAATGTAGCAATATAATGAATTACAGCAACAAAAAGAAGAGAAGGTATTTACTTTTGTAACATATGCTTAAAAAGTCACCTGAAAAAAAACTCAGTCCTTATTACACTGAGATAGGTATAACTCATTCTTATCTATAACTTCATAAAGTTTTACATGATAAATCCAGTAGATTTTCTCCTAATCTTACTTACAAAATAAAAATTTACATAAAATAGGATTAGAAGCAAACTGTATTAATGTGTCTAAATATTTAATAAAAACCCAAATATAAAGGCCATTTTAATGTAAAAAATCCCAAAGGTATTATATAAAATTCCAGAAGCAAAAAAAGATACTTTTTATCATCATTATATTTCAACACTGTTTGGCAGTTTTTAGGTAAAAAAATTGAACAAGAAAATAAAATAATTATCAAATATATCATAAAAGAGGAATAATAACTCTTCATACTTGGAGATAATATGATAAAGATAATCTACCCTTCTATAATTAATAGGCTGATTTGGTAAGGTAACTATAGGAATTTTTTTATACTAATCATAATGAGTTAAAAATAAAATTGGTAAAAAAATCTCATTCACAATAGTGCCCCAAACTATAAACCACTTAGATGCCATTAACAATAATAGTATTTTTATGAAAAATAGTATAAAATATTATTATGTGACACAAAATAAGATCAAAACCAATGAAAAGTGTTAGCATAATCATCTGTATCAAAGTCATTAGATAAATTTTCACATATATTATGCAGCTATTAAATACTATGGGTTAGTTCTATATTAATTACCTTGTAGTAATTTTTAAATGTAATTTATGTGAGGAAAACAAGTTGAAGAAATATTATCTCTTTAAAAGTCAACTATGTAAGATGACATTAATATTTAAAAGCAGATGCTGACCATTTTAATGAATAAATCAATGAATATGGTATCCTTAAGATATTAGGAATTTGCACAAGAATTTATTTATAAAAGAATGATAAATGTATAGACTACCAGCTATTAATCTTGGAGACTGCTTATTCTAAGAAGGAGAAGATAGAAAGGAAAGAATATCATAGAAAAAAATGTATTGTTCACTAGGAAAGTTTTTGTGGAACATGTTTTTAGGTTTTCCTGAAATTTTAATTTTGATTTTCTTTGTTTTCCCATTTCCATTAGCCTTTAATCAGCCTGCTCACTTTTGGATAAAATACTGCTCCATTTTGGACTGATTGCTTTCTATAAGGAATAATATCATCACTGAAAATAATTCTCAATTTCCCTGACTCAGTTTTTCAAAGTTCAAGTTTTACTTGCATGCAGTTTTCTCCATCAATTGCACAGAAACAATCACCTCTATTGCGAGTACTATAGCAATTCCTGTTACAATCTGCTATTTTATGAATGTATGAAATACTAAAGAAAGCTAAAATTATTACTGGTCTTTTTGAGAATAAATTCCACAAAATATTTTTTGTCTATAATTATCCTTCAATAAAGCAAAGCTTTAAAATGAACAGAAACCAAAAAATGCAATATATCACGTTCCTGCAGCCAGGGGTGGTGTTTTACTTTTTTCTGTCTTCTGGAGTTGAAGTTCATTAATACTAAAATAAATTTTAACATTCAGTGACGTTATACTATATCTATTATTCCAGCTGTATAATAGGAACTCTCTTAATTACTTTTGTTGAGTTGCCAGGGATTTCCAATTTCCTCTATCTAGCCATCAGCTTTAGGAAGTTGGAAATTAATCCCAGTAATGTACCTCACCCAACTTTTACTGTTATTTTTTGGAATTTTCTCCAATACCACATTGTTTCAGGTAGTTAGGCATGAGCAGGGCAGGGGAGGGCTTTCCCAGTCCCACTGGAAATGTCAGGTGATGGTTTGGCAATTATCAGTTTGCCTCTCTAAAAATAATAATTCAACAGCCAAGAAGAGACAATCTCCTGATGATCCACACTTGTTAACATTAAACGTGTTAATTGAATGCAGACCCCAGGGAGAAGAGGCCTCTTGGGCATGTGTGTTAAGGGACAAAACAGTGAAATGTGACAGTCAGGGGGCACATACCACCAGAAAAAAGGAAAAATAAAAACCTCAGATGTGCATGCGTATTACTCCCTAATCACACTGTGTGTGCTCAATTACAAAGGTTAAGGAAATCACTGCATATGCAAGAAGCCCACCCTAAGGGAAGAATCATGGGAAAGAGGTGAGCCTGTAAAGTCTAAGGATCAAGGTTAAAGGGCTTCTTCCTCTTTCCTTTTTGACCTTCAGGTGCCCACTAGAATCTCTTCCAAGGGTTTCCCTTCCTTCCTGTTCTAAAGCCTTTTAAATAAACTTTCATTCCTGCTCTAAAATTTGCCTCAGTCTCTTTTTCTGCTTTATGCCCCTCAGTCACATTCTTTCTTCTGAGGAGGCAAGGACTAAAGTTGCTATAAACCTGTATGGCTATGCCACCCTTAATTCAGGGTAACTCAGAGCTCTTCTACTGCTAACAATGTCAGGTTGGGAACTAAAGAAACTAGGAACATGCATTCATATATCTTTCTTTATTTCTCAATTATATCAAAATTCAAGTATCTCTTCTTTTCCCTCTAGATTTTCCCTTATTTTCTGATCTGCAATTTTTGCTCTAATAGCAAGATTTTATTACCAATTACTTTTTTATTGTATTATTAATTTTTTTTCCACTTTTCCTGAAGCATAATTGACAAACACATTTTATATATATTTCAGGTGCACAATTTAAAATTTTGGTATGGATGTGCATTGTGAGATGTTCATCAAAATCAAATTAATTAACATATCCATCAGGTACCTTTTTTGCATGTGTGGTGAAAACATTTAAAATCTATTCTTTTAGCAAATTTCAAGTATAAAAGACAGTATTATTTACTTATTTCAAGTAAAAGATGGTACTATTAACTATAGTCATCATATTGTATATTAGATCTATAAAATTTTTTCATCTTTCAAACTGAAACTTCGTACACTTTCACTAACATATCCCAATATTTTCCACCCCCTGTACCCTAGTAACCACCATTCTACTCTCTACTTCTATGACTTAAACTTTTTAAGATTCCCCATACAGGAGAGAAAATGCAGTAATTTTCTTTCTGTGTCTGGTTTATTTCACTTAGCATAAAATCCTAAGGGTTTATTTATGTTGTCACATAATGACAAGATCTTATTTTTATAAAACAGAGAAATATTCTGCTTTATATATACATATATATATACACACACACACACAAAGGCATACCTATTTTTTGTGCTTTGCTTTCTTGCACTTTGCAGATATTGTTTCTACAAACCGAAGTTTTGTGGCAACTTTGTGTTTAATATCTATGAGCATTGGTGATCTGTGATCAGTGATCATTGACATCGCTATTGTAAACCACAACCATATACGACAGCAAACTTAAACGTGTGTGTTGTGACTGCTTCACCAATGACAATTTCTCCATTTCTCTTCCTGTTGTCAGGCCTCCCTATTCCCCAAGACACAACAATGTTAAAATTAGGTCAATTCATATCTCTACAATAGCCTCTAATTATTAAAATTAAAGAAAGAATTGCATATCTTTCAAAATCAAAAGCTAAAATAATTGAGCTTACTGAGGAAGGTATGTAAAACACCAAAACGACCAAAAGCAAGGACTTCTGCACAGAACAAGTTAGCAAGGTTGTAAATGCAAAGAAAAGTCTTTGAAAAAATTAAAATTGCTAGTGAACATACAATTGATAAGAAAGGAAAACAGCCTTATTTCTGATATAGAGAAAGTTTTAGGGTCTAGATAAATGATCAAAGAAGACACAACATTCCCTTAAGCCAAAACCGAATTCATAAGAAGGCCTTAACTCCAATTCTACAAAGCTTGAGAGAGATGAAGAAGCTGATGAAGAAAAGTTGGAAGCTAGTAGAGATTGTCTCATGAGGTTTAAAGAAAGAAGCTATCTCCATAACATTAAAGTGCAAGGTGAAGCAGCAAGTGCTAACACAGAAGCTGCAACAAGTTGTCCAGAATGTCTAGCTAAGTGATGAAGGTGGCTATATAAAACAACAGATTTTTAATGTAGACAAAGGAGCCTTCTACTGGAAGGAGATGCTATCTAGGACTTTTGTAGCTAAAGAAGAGATGTCAATGGGCCTGACTTCAAAGCTTCAAAGGACAAGCCACCTCTCTTTTAGTGGCTGATGCAGCTCTTTACATTATGTTGAAGCCAATGCTTATTTACCATTCTGAATATATTAAGGCCCTTAGAAATCATGCTAAATCTATGCTGCCTGTGCTCTACAATAGAACAACAAGCCTGAATGACAGCAAATCTCTTTATAGAATGGTTTTCTATATTTTTAAGCCCACTGTTGAGACCTACTTCTCAGAAAAAAAAAAAAGGTTTCTTTCAAAATATTACTGCTCATTGACCAATGTACTTAGTCACCCAAGAGCTCTGATGGAGTTATACAAGGAAATTAACGTTATTTTTATACCTGCTAACACAATCTGCATTCTGCAGCCCATGGATCAAGAAGTATTTTTTTTCTTTCAAGTCTTATTATTAAAGAAATAAATTTTGAAAGGCTATAGCTGCTATAGATATTGATTCCTCTCATGCATTTGGACAAGTAAATTGAAAAACTTCTGAAGATGATTCTAGATTCCACAAAGAATATTCATAAAGAATATTCATGATTCATTGGAGGACGCCAAAATGTCAACATTAGCGGAAGTGTGGAAGAAGTTGATTCCAACACTCATGGATGACATTGTGGGGGGAAGTAACTGCACACATGGTGAAAATAGCAAGAGAACTAGAATTAGAAGTGGAGTCTGAAGATGTGAGTGAATTGCTACAATGTCATTCTAAAACATGAATGGATGAGAAGTTGCTTCTTATGGGTGAGCAAAGATATTGGTTTATTGAGACAGATTCTCTCCTCGTGGAGATTCTGTGAACATTGTTGAAATAAATCAAAAGATTTAGAATCTTACATAGACTTAGTTGACAAAGAAGTGCAGGGTTTCATAAGATATACTCCAATTTTCAAAGAAGTTCTACTGTGGGTGATATGCTATCAAACAGCATCACATGTTACAGAGAAATCTTTTGTGAAAGGAAGAGTCAATTGATGTGGCAAATTTCACTTTTGTCTTCTTTTAAGAAATTGCCATAGTGACCCCAACCTTCAGCAATCACAATCCTGATTAGTCAGCAGCCATCAACATCAAGGCAAGATTCCCCACCAGTAAAAAGATTATGACTTGCTGAAGGATCAGATCATTGTTAGCATTTTTTAGCAATAAAGTACTTCTTAAATTCAGGTATGTACAATGATTTTTTGGACATAAAATTAAGCTATTGCACACTTAATAAACTACATTATAGTATAAATATAACTTTTGTATGTACTAGTAAACCAAAAAACTTCTGTGGCTTGTTTTGTTGCAAGAGTTTATTTTTATGGTGGTCTAGAACCCAACCTGCAATATCTCCAAGGTATGCCTGAATATAGATATAGATATATGATACATATATGTATATCTATCCCATTACATTTCTTTATCAATTTACATGTCAATGGAGACTTAAGTTGTTTTTATATTTTGTGTATTATAAATAATGCTGCAATGAAAGTTAGAGTGCAGGTATCTCTTTGAGATAATAATTTTATTTTCTTTGGATATATGCTCTCTAGTGGAATTGCTGGATCATATATTAGCTCTATTTTTAACTTTTTGAGAAACTTCTATACTGTAATCCATAATAAGTGTAACAATTTGCAGTCCCAACCACCATGTACAAAAGTTACTTTTTTTCCACATCTTTGTCTTTAATATCATTCATTCTAACAGGAATAATGTGATACTACATTGTAGTTTTTATTTGCATTTTCCTGATGATTTATGGATGTAATTTTTCTGTTTTTGGTAGTGTAGAAATTTAGCAATATTAGTTCTTCTAAATCATGACCATAAGATATGTTTCATTTACATGTGTCAATGTAAATTTCTTTTCTTAATGTTTTATAGTTTTTAAGATTTAGATCTTTCAATTTCTTAGTTAAATGTATGCCTAAATATTTTATTATTTTTATTGTTATTGGGAATGGAATTGTTTTATTAATTTATTTTTCAGATAGTTTGCTGTTAAAAACATAATTGATTTTGGTATATTTATCTTGTATCCTGCAACTTTACTATTTTTTTAAATTAGTTCTAACTGTTTTTTGCTGGAGTGTTTAGGAATTTCTATAGATACCGTCATGTTGTCTGCAAGCAGACAGAATTTTATGTCTTCCTTTACAATTTGAAAGCCTTTTAAAATTTATTTCTTGCCTAATTGCTCTAACTATAGCTACAGGTGGCATGTTGGATGAAAATGGTAAGAGCAGGTATCCTTATTTTGTCCCTGATCATAGAGAAAAAAATTTCAGCTTTCGACATGAGTATAATATTAGCTGTGCAATTGTCAAATGTGACCTCTATTATGCTTAAATACATTCTTTTGGCACTTAATTTGTTGAGAGTTTTTATCATGAAAAAAATGTTGAATTTTATTAAATATTTTATATGCGTGCATTAAAATGATCATATAATTTGTATACTTTATACTACTAATTTAATGTATCACACTTGCTAATTTGTATATGTTGAACCATCCTTGCATTCAGGGGCAAATATTAATTTTGATGAATGATTTTTTAAATATGCTTTTAAATTTGGTTTGCAGTATTTTGTTGAGTTTTGTTGAATTTATGTTCATCAGGGCTAATAACATGTAATTTTTATGTAATATACTTGTCTGGCTTTGATATTAGGGTAATACTGGCCTTATAAAATTAATTTAGAAGTGTTCTTTCGTCTTCACTAATTTGGAAGAGTTTAAAAAGTTTTGGATTAAATGTTTGATTGAATTCAGCAGCTAAGCCATGTGATTATGGCTTTTTCTATTATAGCAAACTGTTTCTGATTCAATCTCTTAACTAGTTTTTGGTCTGTTCAGATTTTCTGTTTCTTCATAATTCAGTCAAGGTAAGTTGTTTGTTTCTGGATATTTGTCTGATTAAGTTAGATAACTTTTTGGGGTATAACTGTTCATAGAAATCTCTTATGATCCTTTGTATTTCTGTGGTTTTTGTTGTAATGTCACCTCCTCATTTCTGATTACCTTTATCTTCTTTTTTTTCCTGTACTAGCTAAAAACTGGTGATTTTGTTCATCTTTTCAAAAAACAGCTCTTAGTTTTATTGACCTTTTCTGTTGTTATTCTAGTTTCTAATTCCTTTTCTTCCTGCTCTGATCACTATCTCCTTCTACTGATTTTGGTCTTAGTTTGCTCTTTTTCTACTTTTTTCAGGTGTAACATTAGGCCATTTATTTTAGTTTTTTTTCCTTTATGTAGTTGTTTACTGCTATAAACTTTTCTGTTATAAATTATTTTGCTGAAACCCAAAAGGTTTGATATGTTTTCATTTTCATTTGTCTCAAAATATTTTTTATTTCTTCTTTTATTTCTTCTTTAATGCATTGACCATCCAAGAGTGTTCTTTTTAATTTCCATGTTTGTGAATTTTCCAAATTTATTCTTATTACGATTTATAATTACATATCATGGTGATAAAAAAGATGCTTCACATAATTTCTTACTTCTTAAATTTGTTAAGACTTATAGCCCAAAACAAGATACATCTTGGAGAATGTTCTTTTGTGCTTGAGAGGAGTATGTATTCTGCTATTGTTTGATGGTATTCTTTGTATGTCTTTTAGTTCCATTTATTCTACAATATTGCTTAAGTCCACTGTTTTCTTATTCATTTTCTGCCTGGATGATCTATTTATTGTTGAAATGTCCTCTGCGATTAGTGTTTGTTGTTTATTTTTCCCTTCAATTTTGTTAATATTTGCTTTATATATTGAGGTGCTTCAATGTTGGGTTCATATGTATTTATAGTTGTTATGTTCTCTTAACGAATTGACCCCTTTATCATTATATAATAATCTTATTGTCTCACATGACTTTTTTTAACATAAAGATTATTTTGTCTGATGTAAGTATAGACACTCCTGCTCTTTTTTGGTGACAATTTGCTTGAGGTATGTTTTTTCTGTCCTTTCATTTTTGACCTATGTATGTCCTTAAAGATATAGTGAGTCTCTTATAGGCAAATGTATAGTTGGATCTTATTTTTGTTTTGTTTTTGTTATCCATTCAGCCATTCTAAGTCTTTTGGAGAATTTAATCAATTTACATTTAAAGCAATTTTTGAAAGGTAAGAACTCACTATTGCAATTTTGTTAATTATTTTCTATTTTGCAATTTCTCTCTTCCTTTCTTCCTTTTTTTACTATCTTCCTTTGTGTTTTGATAATTTCTGGTAATGTTATGCTTTGATTTATTTCTCTCTGTATCTTTTGTGTATCCACTACAGGTTTTGTCTTTGTGATTACTGGGAGGCTTATGTAAAATATTTTGTAGTTATAGCAGTCTACTTTAAATGAATAAAAAATTAGCCTTGATAGCAAAGAAATATTATACTTTTATTCCCTCCTTACATGTTATTATTAATGTAACAAATTACATATTTTTACATTGTGTAACTATTTACAAATTATTGTACTGTAGGTATTTGTAATACTTTTGTCTTTTAACTTTTGTATTAAAGTGAAAGTTATTTATTCACCACCATTTCAGTATTAGAACATTCTGGACTCTAATCTTTATAGGATTAGACTATATAATTACCTTTACCTGTGAATTTTATACCTTCATACTTTTTCATGTTTCTAACTAGTGTCCTATCATTTCTTTTTTATTTCCATTTTTATTTTTTATTATTATACTTTAAGTTCTAGGGTACATGTGCACAACGTGCATGTGTCCTATCATTTCTTTTTTTTTTTTTTTTTTCTAGACGTAGTCTCGCTCTGTCCCCCAGGCTGGAGCGCAGTGGCACGATCTCGGCTCACTACAAGCTCCGCCTCCCGGGTTCCCGCCAATCTCCTGCCTCAGCCTGCCGAGTAGAGTAGCTGGGACTACAGGCGCCCGCCACGACGTCCGGCTAATTTTTTGTATTTTTAGTAGAGACGAGGTTTCACCGTGTTAGCCAGGATGGTCTCCATCTCCTGACCTCGTGATCCACCGGCCTCGGCCTCCCAAAGTGCTGGGATTACAGACGTGAGCCACTGCGCCCGGCTGTGTCCTATCATTTCAACTTGGTGAGTTAACCTTAGCATTTCTTGCAAGGCAGATGTACAAATTATGAACTGTCTTAGGTTTTGTTTATTTGTGGAAGTCTTTATCTCTCATTCATTTTTAAAGGACAGTTTTTGCTGGGAAGAGTATTCTTTGGTGACAACTTTTTCTTTCAGCACTTTACATTTATCTACCCTTTCTCCGCTGGATGGAGTTTTCTGCTGAAAAGTCTGCTGATAGTTCTGAAGAAGTTTCCATTCATGTAATGAGACACGTTTCTCTGGCTGCTTTCATAATTCTCTTTGGCTTTCACTTTTGACAATTTAATTATAATGTATCTCAGTGAAAACTTAATGTTCAGCCTATATGGAGTTTTTTGGGCCTCATGGATCTGGATGTTCAATTTTCTTCCTAGTTTTAGGAGTTTTTCTGTCATTATTTTTTAAAATAAACTTTCTTTCCTTTGTCTATCTACTCCTTCTGAATATTTTATATGTGTATATTGGTTTATGTTGTGTGCCATAAGTCAGGTAGGCTTTCTTCACTCTTTTTCATTTGTTTCTTTGTCTTTTTTGTTCCTCTAACTTTATAATTTTAAATGCCCTGTCTTCAAATTTGTGTTTTTTTCCTTCTGCGTAATCAGCTATACTGTTGAAACTCTGTAATGAATTTTTAATTTCAGTTATTGTGTACTTGTTTCTGGATTCCTGTTTTAAAATAAATTCTATTTTTAATTGAACTTCTTATTTTGTTCATGTATTGTTTTCCCAGTTTTGTTTAGTTTTCTGTGTTCTTTTGTAGTTTGTTGAGTCTCTGTAAAATGAACATTTTGAATTTTTTGCCAAGCACTTTATGAATCTTCATTTCTTTCACTTACTTACTGGAGCTTTTTTATTTCCTTTACCGATGTTATATTTGCCTCATTCTTTATAATCTATGTAGCTTTTCCTTAGCATCTATGTTTGAAGGGAAAGACTCTTCTTCCAGTCTTGATAGACTTATTTCTGCAGGTAAAGACTTCGCCTGGCTGATGGAGATCACAGTTAAGTGGGAATGAAAACAGGTTCTGTGTCCATGCCAAGTCTACAGTTGGGTTAATAGTTGGCAAGTCTGCTACCAGGGCCACATATGGTTGTGGCTTCCACCAGGCCTATGAGCAGTACTGCCTCCAGACCAAGGGAAAGCTGGACTGGAGTTGGGTCATGGAACTGCTTTAAAGACCATAGTTGGGTCCAAGGTCTGCAGGTCCTATTACTAGGAGCACACACAGGTGTGGCTCCCAAGTCCTTTGGTGGAAGTGGCTGAAGGCAGCAGTGTGTGGACTTACTTCTCAAAGAGGCACTCCTTGGCCTTGGATCTAACAATTGTTTTATAACCAGCTATTTGGATCCCAAGACTCTCACAAAGTCAAATTTGTCTGTTTATGCCACCAAATATTTGTTTCTCTGGGACGACACAGGCTTGGGACCCCCTCTTCTGCCATCCTGCTGATGGCATTCTCATTACTTTTTTAAAAAATTTGTATTCTACTGAACTTATGTTTACTTTTTGTAACCCGCATTAAAAAAATTTATTGCATTCCTTACCCTATTGCATTATTTTCTATGTATATTTGTAAGAGATCATTTGATTTCCTGACCCATCTTCTGTGAAAAGAACTATATTTAAATATATAATAATCCATAAACTTTGCACAATTTTTAATTACTTGAAAATTAATCAACTTTCCTTCATAAGTTGATAATATGGTTATGAATTGTCTGAGTGCTATTGTACAGGAGATGTGGCAGATTTCAATACTGTTGAAATATTCACTGCCCCTTCTCAGCCAATTATAATTTCCTGCTCCAAGATCTCAAACTTTGCCATGCAACTTGTTTTATTCTATAAAATGTGAATAAAAGTAACTTGTTCCACTTTCTGGGTATATCTCTGAGTTATATTTTCTTTCTCTTTGCTACATTACCTTTAAATACCAGGTAAAGGCACTGCCTTTATCCTGGGTGCTACTTAGAAATTTTTAGAGCTATAGACCTGTAAGAGACATGTAATATGAGCAAGAACTAAACATTTGCTTTACTGTAAGGATCTGAGATATACGGGCTATTTGCTACTATGGCAATCCTTAACTGACACAGTAGCCTTCTCTTTAGCTAATAGTTGTTTGCTATTTATTATATTTCTGAATTTGAAAATTATCAGACTCAGCATTGTTTTAATAATATTCAAGGATTGCACAAATCAAGGATCAAACCTAGGTTGATTATAACACGCCATCATTTCTGAAGAATTTGATCGATAATTCATAAGGGAAAATGTAACTCTTGTTAGAATGAGGGATTAGTATTTTTAAATCTCTCGTTAAATAAACTAATAGGCTTCTTACTTTAATTTTTCTTGTTACAATCTTGGTAATGTTTTTTCCCATGAATTCTTTATGGGATTCTGACTTATCATGGAACTGCCATTTGTTAGAGATAGTGAGACTAAGTAAATTTGTACCAACATGGTGAAAATGATGTGTTTTATGTGCCCAAATATTTTGTCCCAAGATACATCTGATATATCTTAGGTTATATTTATAACATCATAAAAAATAATATTTTCTTGTGTATGCCAATGCTTCAAACACTGGCTAAGAACTTCAAATGCATTATCTCATTTTGTCTCACAACTATATTAGATTGTTTACTTTTCTTTTTTACTACTAAATCTCAGTTCCAAATCAACCTTTCTCTGCTCTGTTATCCTAAGACCAGAACTTTGAAAACTTGCTGTCCAAATTTCTTTGCTAGCAGCATTTTTATTAGGTTCTAAAAATGAAAGACACTAAAGAAATATTGAAAGACAATAAGGAGATATAAGGAAATTCCGGCCAGGCATGGTGGCTCATTCCTGTAATCCCAGCACTTTGGGAGGCTGAGGCAGGCAGATCACCTGAGGTGGGGAGTTCGAGACCAGCCTGACCAACATGGAGAAATCTTGTCTCTACTAAAAATACAAAATTATCCAGGCATGGTGGCGCATGCCTGTAATTCCAGCTACTCGGGAGGCTGAGGCCGGAGAATCGCTTGAACCGGTGAGGCGGAGGTTGCGGTGAGCTGAGATAAAGCCATTGCACTCCAGCCTGGGCAACAACAGCAAAACTTCATCTCTAAATAAATAAATAAATAAATAAATAAGGAAATTCCTTCAATATGTTAGCTTACTCTTCCTCTTCATAATGCCTTAGTAGAGGCAGTTGACTCTAGCCTCCAGATTCTTACAACACTCAAGAAACAGTCTCATTATGCCAACTAAATGGTTTTATCAGCAATTGAGTAGTGTGCCTTATTAATAAGTCTGAATCGCTGTTCATCTATTCTGGTACTTCCCTTATTCTCTTAATTCCATCTCTTCCTTTTTTTCTATGTTTTATTAAAGTATGGCATACAGAAAAGTAATTTCATATACATAGTAAATAAGGTTGGAGCTCACTGAATTTTAACAAAGTGAATGCTTATATGACCAGCATCAAGATCAAGAGACACATATTACTGCTAACCTGGAATGTTACTATATTATTCTTCCTGTTACTTACACTAAGGGTATCGACTATCCTAATATTTTACAGGTTAGATTGATTTTGCAAATTTTTGTACTTTATGTAAATAAATCCTTGTATTAGCCCAGATACAGTTGGTTTCAAGCAGAGAAACAAAGTAAGTAGTGTGTGTATATGTGTGTATATATGTGTGTGTGTATTCCTTGCAATAAATAATATATATAATATATATGTGTGTATAATCTTATTATATGTATAATTTCTTGCAATGAATTGGTTTACATGATTGTGGAGGCTGGATATGTATGGCTGAATTCCTTAGGTGACGATGTTAGAAAAGGAAAACCGAAACTTCCAGACATGGGCTGAAGCTTCAGTCCACATGCAGAATTTATTTTCCCCAGGGAAGCTTCAGTTCTGTTCTTAAAGACTTTCTATTGATAGAATCAGGCCCATCAAGATTATCTAGAAAAATTTCTCCTACTTAAAGTCAATCAATTATGAACTTTAATTACATCTACAAAATATCTTCACAGAAACACCTATATTTGTGTTTTGTTGAATATTGGGGACTACAGCGTAGCTAAATTGACACATAAAACTGACCACTACACTCTCATTTTTGGCTTTTTTCACTCAACATTATATTTGCAAAATTTGTATCTTCTGCCATGTTTTCTTATACTTCATTTAATCTCATAACTGTAGAATATTTTACTGTGTAAATACAGCACAATTTATATTCCCATCCTATTGTCACTGGGCATTTAAGTAGCTTCCAGTTTAGAAATACCATAAATTCTGCTGATAGGAACAATTTACTGCATGACTTTTGGAAACCTGCTATATGCCAATCTGTTGGAATGCATGTGAGAATGTAGTTGCTGAGACATAAGCTCTGTGTATGTTCAAATGTTTTACAAATTACTTGTGTTAATTTACATTCCCCGTAAAAGTGTATTAAAGTTTTGACTTTTTTATATTACCATAAATATTTTGTATTTGACATGCATATTTGTAGCCATCTGGGTGTGTGTGTGTTTCTGTGTGTGTGTGTGTGTGTGTGTGTGTGTGTGTATGGGTCTCATTTTGGTTACAATTTGCAATTCCCTGATGTCTAATGATGTAGGTGATATTTTTGGCAATTTTCATATTCTATGAAATTAGTTTCTGCAAGACTTTTTTGCCTACTTTTCTATTGGGCTTACTGGCTGATTTTATTATTTAATAATATTAGTTTTTTATACATTTTAGATGTGACATTTTCTGGTAGATATATCTCCATCTAGCTAGATAACTAGTTAGATAGTTACATAACAACAATTTGTCCCTCATCTATATTTCTATTATATATCTTTCTTCTTTTGTAAAATTTTTATTTTTAATTTTTTGTGTGTACATAGTAAATGTAGACATTTGTGATGTATATAGGATGTTTTCATACAGCCATGCAATGCATAACAATAATATCATGGAGAATGGTATATCCATTTTCTCAAGTATATATCCTTTGTGTTACAAACTATCCAATTTTACTCTTTAAGTTATATTTAAATGTATTATTAAGTTATTAATGACTACAGACACCCTTTTGTGTTTTCAAATATTAGATCTTATTTATTCTTTCTAAATATTTTCATATCTGTTAACCATCCCCAATTCCTCACCCCCAACTACCCTTCCCAGCCTCTGGTAACCATCATTCTACTCTCTAAGTTCATGAGTTCAATTGATTTGATTTTTAGATTCCACAAATAAGTGAGAACTTGCAATGTTTTTCTTTCTGTGCCTTGCTTATTTCACTTAACATTGATATTCAGCTCCATCCATGTTGTTGAAAATGACAAGATCTCATTCTTATTTTGGCTAAATAGTACTCCATTGTGTATATGTACCACATTTTGTTTATCCATTCATCTGTTGATAGACACTTAGGTTGTTTCCAAATATTGGCTATTGTGAACAGTACTGCAACAAGCATGGCAATGTAGATATCTCTTTGATATATTAATGTCTTTTCTTTTGGATATATACCCAGCAGTTGAATTGCTGGATCATATGGTAGCTCGATTTTTAGTCTTTTTGAGGAAACTCCAAACTGTTCTCTACAGTGGTTGTCATAATTTATATTCTCACTAACAGTGTGGTAGGGTTTCCTTGTCTCCACATTCTGGCCAGCATTTGTTATTGCCTGTCTTTTGTATACGAACCATTTTAACTGGGGTGAGATGATATCTCATTATAGGTTTGATTTGCATTTCACTGATGAGCAATGGTATTGAGCACTTTTTCATATGCCTGTTTGCCATTTGTATGTCTTCTTTGAGAAATGTCTATTAAAATTTTTACCCAATTAAAAAAATTAAACTTTTTTTCATAAGTTATTGGAATACAGGTGGTAGTTGATTACATGATTTAGTTCTTTATTCGTGATTTGTGAGATTTTAGTGCATCCATCACCTGAGCAGTATACACTCCACCATATTTGTAGTCTTTAATCTCTCGCCCCCATCACACTCTTCCCCTCAAGTCCCCACAGTCCATTGTACCATTCTTATGATTTTGCATCCTCATATCTTAGCTTCCACATATTAGTGAGAATATACGATGTTTGGTTTTCCATTCCTGAGTTACTTCACTTAAAATAATGATCTCCAATCTCATTCAGGTCACTGCAAATGCTGTTAATAAATTTATTTTTATGGATGAGTAGATTTCCATCATATATATATATGTGTATATATACATGTATATATATGTGTGTGTGTGTGTGTATACGTATATATATATACGTATACACACACACACACATACCACAGTTTCTTTATCCACTCGTTGATTGATGGGCATTTGGGTTGGTTTCATGATTTTGCTCTCGTGAATTGTGCTGCTACAAACACGCATGTGCAAGTATGTTTTTTGTATAAAGACTTCTTTTCTTCTGGGTAGATACCCAGTAGTAGGATTGCTGGATCAAATTGTAGTTCTACTTTCAGTACTTTAAGGAATCTCCACCCTGTTTTCCATAGAGGTTGTACTAGTTTATATTCCCACTAGCAGTGTAGAAGTGTTCCCTGATCACCACATCCATGCCAACATCTACTGTTTATTGATTTTTTTGATTATGGCTATTCTTGCAGGAGTGAGGTGGTATCACATTGTGGTTTTGATTTGCATTTCCCTGATCATTAGTGATGTTGAAAATTTTTATTTTATTTTTTTGAGACGGAGTCTCATTCTGTCACCAGGCTAGAGTGCAGTGGCACAATGTCGCCTCACTGCAACCCCTGCCTACTGGGTTCAAGCTATTCTCCTGCCTCAGCCTCCCGAGTAGCTGGGACTACAGGTGCGTGCCACCACGCACAGCTAATTTTTGTATTTTTAGTAGAGATGGGTTTTCACCATGTTAGCCAGGATGGTCTCAATCTCTTGACCTCGTGATCCGCCTGCCTTGGCATCCCAAAGTGCTGAGATTACAGGCGTGAGCCACCCTGTATATCTCCTTTTGAGAGTTGTCTATTCATGTCCTTAGCCCACTTTTTGATGGGATTGCTTTTTTTTCTTCCTGATTTGTTTTTGTTTGTTGAAGATTCTGAATATTAGTCCTTTGTCAGATATATAGACTGTGAAGCTTTTCTCCCACTCTGTGGGCTGTCTGTTTACTCTGCTGACTGTTCCTTTTGCTGTGCAAAAGCTCTTTAGTTTAATTAAGTTGCAGTTATTTGTCTTTGTTTTTACTGCATTAGCTTTTGGGGTTTGTTCATGAAATCCTTGCCTAAGCCAATGTCGACAAGGGTTTTTTCAATGTTATCTGCTAGAATTGTTATAGTTTCAGGTCTTAGATTTAAGCCCTTAATCCATCTTGAGTTGATTTTTGTATAATGTGAGACATGAGGATACAGTTTCATTCTCCTACATGTGGGTAGTCAATTATCCCCACTTTATGTTTTTGTTTCCTTGGTCAAAGATCAGTTGGCTGTAATTACTTGGTTTTATTTCTGGGTGCTCTATTCTGTTCTATTGGTCTATGTGCCCATTTTTATACCAGTACCACACTGTTTTGTTAATTATGGCATTATAATATGGTTTAAAATCAGGTAGTGTGATGCCTCCAATTTGTTCTTTTCACTTAGTCTTGCTTTGGCTATGCGGGCTCTTTTTGATTCCATATGAATTTTAGAAATTTTTTTTCTAATTGTTTGAAGAAGCTGGTGGTATTTTGATGAGAAATGCACTGAATTTGTAGATTGCTTTTGGCAGTATGGTCATTTTTACAATATTCTACCCATCCATGAGCATGGGATGTCTTGTATCTGGATACTTTGCTGAAATCTTTTGAGTTCTAAGAGCTTTCTAGAGGAGTCTTTAGGTTTTTCAAGGTAAACGATTATATCGTCAACAAACAGTGACAGTATGACTTCTTCTTTACAAACGTGGATGCCCTTTATTTCTTTCTCTTGTCTGATTGTTCTGGCTAGGACTTCCAGTACTATGTTGAAGATGCGTGGTGAGAGCGGGCATCCTTGTTCCAGCTCTCAGAGGGAATGCCTTCAACTTTTTCCCATTCAGTATTATGTTGGCTGTGGTTTTGTCATAGATGGCTTTTATTACATTGAGGTATGTCCCTTGTATGCCGATTTTGCTGAAGTTTTAATCATAAAGGAATGCTGGATTTTATTTAATGCTTTTTATACATCTATTGAGATGATCATGTGATTATTGTTTTAAATTCTGTTATGTGATGTATCACATTTATTGACTTGCATATGTTAAACCATCCCTGCATTCCTGGTATGAAATCCACTTGATCATGGTGGATTATCTTTTTAATATGTTGTTGGATTCAGTTAGCTAGATCCTGGGCTTTTCTTTTCTCACTGCTTGTTATTGGTCTGTTCAGGGTATCTAATTATTTCTGATTTAAGCTAGGAGGGTTGTATTTTTTCAGGAATGTAGACATCACTTCTAGGTTTTCTAGTTTATGTGTGTAAAGGTGTTCCTAGAAGCTTTGAATGATCTTTTGTATTTCAGTAGTGTTAGTTGTAATATCTCATGTTTCATTTCTTAGTGAGGTTATTTGGATTTTCTCTCTCTTTTCTTGGATAATCTTGCTAATGGTCTACCAATTTTATTTATCTTTTTAAGGACCAGTTTTTTGTTTTATTTATCGTTTGTATTGTTTCTTTTGTTTCAATTTCATTTAGTTCTGCTCTGATCTTGGTTATTTCCCTTCTTCTGCTGGGTTTGGGTTTGGTCTTTTTTTGTTCTTGTTTCTCTAGTTCCTTGAGGTGTGACCTTAGAATTTCTATTTGTGCTCTTTCAGGTTTCTTTTTTCTTTTTTTTTTTAATGTAGGAATTTAGGTCTATGAACTTTCCTCTTCACACTGCCTTTGCTGTATCCCAGAGGTTTTGGTAGGTTGTGTCATAATTGTCATTCAGTTCAAATAATTTTTAAATTTCCATCTTGATTTTGTTTTTTACCCACTGCTCATTCAGGAGCAGGTTATTTAATTTCCATGTATTTGCATGATTTTGAAGGTTCCTTTTGTAGTCAATTTCTAGTTTTATCCCATGGTCTGAAAGAGTGGTTGATAGAATTTCAGTTTTCTAAATTTATTGAGGCTGGTTTTATGGCCTATCATATGGCCTATCTTGGAGAAAGTTCTATGTGCTATTGAATAGAATGTGTTTTCTGTGGTTGTTGGATGAAATGTTCTGTATATATCTGTTAAGTCCATTTGTTCCAAAGTATAGTTTAAACTCATTGTTTCTTTGTTGACTTTATGTTTTGATAATCTGTCTGGTGCTGTCAGTGGAGTAATGAAGTCCCCTATGATTATTATGTTGCTGTCTGTGTCATTTCTTGGGTCTATTAGTAATTGTTTATACATTTGGGAGCTCCAGTGTCAGGTGCATATGTTTAGGATTGTAATATTTCCTCTTGGACGAGGCCTTATACCATTATATAATTTTCCTCTTTGTTTCTTTTAACTGCTGTTGCTTTGAAGTTTGTTTTGCCTGATATAAGAATAGTTACCCTTGGTTGATTTTGGTGTCCATTTGCATGAAATGCCTTTTCCCATCCCTTTAATTTAACTTTAACTGAGGCCTCATGTGTTAGGTGAGTCTCCTGAAGGCAGCAGATAGTCCGTTGGTGAGTTCTTATCCATTCTGCAGTTCTGTATCTTTTAAGTGGAGAATTTAGGTCATTTACATTCAATGTTACATTGAAATATGAGGTACCATTGCATTCATCATGCTCTTTATTTCATGTGTACTTTGGCATTTTTGTTTTTGCTTTTTAACTTGTATTTTTGTTTTATAGGTCCTGTGTGATTTATGCTTTAAAGCGGTTCTGTTTTGATGTGTTTTCAGGGTTTATTTCAAGATTTAGAGCTCCTTTTAGCAGTTTTTATAGTGGTGGCTTGGTAGTGGAGATTTCTTTCAGTATTCGTTTGTCTGAAAAAGACTGTATCTTTTCTTTTGGGGGAGCATTAAGGAGTGGAAAGTTTAATAGACAGAAGAAAGGAAAGAATAGAGCAGTTCCTTGCCAAAGAGAGACAGACATCTGAAAAAGGGGAGAGGTGATGAACTGCAGCAGATTTTATAGGCAGGCTGGAGAGTGCAGTGTCTGATTTGTATAGAGCTCACAGATTGGTTTGATCAGGTATGACTTTTACATAGCGCATGGGAAAAGCTGGTCACCCCATCCTAATCTTCTTATGCAAATGGGCATTCCAGTTGATCGGCACCATCTTGTCTACTCCTTTACAGTACACGTGACTGGCAGAAAAGAGAAGATGGAGCTGCCTTTTGAAAATGTCTAGTTCTTAGTTCCTGCCAGCATTCACCTGTGCAAGCTCCCAGCTTACAAGCTTCTCTTTGTTAGAAAATGATTTGGGGCTGCTTTTCATTAAAAAGAAAAGCCTTACCAAGGACTCCCATGCCCTTGCTATCTGCCTAAGTAATTCCTTCTTAACTTCTGTATCATTCCCCACTCTGGAGTGGTAATCCTAATTGATGTTAGGAGGTGTTGGGTGATGACGCTCTGGCTACTTCCTGCTGAAAAGGGGCATTGTGTGGGGAACAGCAGCTAGGGTTCCTCCTGGGGTTGATCTAAGTGTCCTCGGAAGAAAGGTGTGTACATATGTGGTTCGGTCTGCAGCACCATTTGGAGTTTGATTGCTTCTAGGTGAGAGGAAGTAATTCAAGTTATAGTAACATTAACAATGTTAGACAAGGTCCAAACATTAATATAAAACATATGAATAGGGGGCTTAATGATGGAACTAACCAGGTCCACAGTGAAGATTGGAATTTATTAAAGAGGGATTGTAGCCATCCAGGGCTGGAGACTGCATTTTCTCTTAACCTGCGAATGATTTTCACTTGATCTTTAAGCATCTGTAGGTTTTCTTCGACTTGACTAGAGGTGTTGATCCAGAGGCAGCATGTTTCATTTAAGACTGCACAGGTACCACCTACCTCACCTGTGAGGACATCTAGGGCCCGTCTGTTCTGTGCTACTGCTGAGCCTAAAAAGTATGTGGATTGTTATTGTGCTTCTATGGCTCCTACTGTTGCCTTCCATCCTTGTTGCATCATAATGTAAATATTAAGTAGTGACCTTTTAAGGAGAGGAATAGCAGCAAACCAGAAAAGGCCTCTAGTTATAGAATTCCCCATCCATGGTTTTTCTAAGATGGGATAAGACTGTATCTTTCCTTCATATGTAATGCTTAGTTTCAGTGGACACAAAATTTGGGCTGACAATTGTTATGTTTGAGGAGGCTGAAGATAGGGCCCCAATCTCTTGTAGTTTGTAGGGTTTCTGCTGAAAAATCTGCTGTTAATCTTATATATTTTCTTTCATGGGTTGCCTGGTTCTTCTGTGTCACAGCTCTTAAGATTCTTTCCTTGGTCTTAAGTTTGGATAACCTGATGACAATGTGTCTAGGTGATGATCTTTTTGCAATGAATTTCCCAGGTGTTCTAAGTGCTTCTTGTATTTGGATGTCTGGGTCTCTAGCAAAGCTGGGGAAGTTTTCCTCAGTTATTCCCCCACATGTGTTTTCCAAGCTTTTATAATTCTCTTCTTTCTCAGGAACACCAATTATTCTTAGGTTCTTCATTAAACATAACCCCAGACTTCTTGGAGGGTTTATTCATATTTTCTTTTCTTTTTTCTTTGTCTTTGTTGGATTGGGTTAATTTGAAGACCTTGTCTTCAAGCTCTGAATTTCTTTCTTCTACTGTTCAATTCTATTGCTGAGACTTTCCAGAGCACTTCACATTTCTATAACTGTATCCAATGTTTCCTAAATTTTTGATTTTTTTAAGCTATCTATTTCCTTGAATATTTCTCCCTTCACTTCTTGTATCGATTTTTGGATTTCCTTGCATTGGGCTTCACCTTCTCTGGTGTCTTTCTAATTAGCGTTATAACTAAACTCCTGAATTCTTTTTCAGGTAAATCAGGGATTTCTTTGTTTGGATCCATTGCTGGTTAACTAGTGTGATGTTTTGGGGGGTGTTAAAGAGTCTTATTCTGTCATATTACCAGAGTGGATTTTCTGGTTCCTTCTTATTTGGATAGGTTCTGTCGGAGGGAAAGACTAGGGCTGAAGGCTGTTGTTCAGATTCTTTTGTCTCACAGGGTGTTCCCTTGATATAGTACTCTCTCCCTTTTCATATGGATGTGGCTTCCTGTGAGCCAAACTGCAGTGATTGTTGTCTCTCTTCTGAGCCCAGCCACCCAGCAAGTCTGCCTGGCTCCAGGCTGGTACTGGGGGTTGTCTGCACAGAGTTTTGTGATGTGAACAATCTATGGGTCTCTCAGCCATGGACGTAAGTGCCTGTTTCAGTGGAGGTGGAGGGGAGGTGCTATGGATTCTGTGAGGATTTTTAGCTTTGGTAGTTTAATGCTCTATTTTTGTGCTGGTTGGCTTCATTCCAGAAGGTGGAACTTTCCAGAGAGCATCAGCTGTGTTAGTATGGAGAGGAACCAGCAGTGGGCAGAGCCCTAGAACTCCCAATATTATATGCCTTTTGTCTTCAGCTACCAGGTTAGATAGGGAAGGACCACCAAGTGGGGGCAGGGCTAGGCAAGTCTGAGCTCAGACTGCCCTTGGGTAGGTCTTGCTGCTGCTGCTGTGGGGGATGGGAGTGAGGTTCCCAGGTCAATGGAGTTGTGTATCTAGGAGGATTATGGCTGCCACTGCTGAGTCATGCAGGTTGTCAAGGAAGTGGGGGAAAGCCGGCTGTCAGAGGCCTCACCCAGCTTCCTCTCAAACCAAAGGACCAGTCTCACTCCCACTGTGTCCCCCTAACAGTACCGAGTCTGTTTCCAAGCAGTGGGCAAGTCAAGCTTGAAAACTTGCCTCATGACACCTGCCTTCCAGCTGTGAGAGAAAAGGGCTTAGTTCTTCCCCTGTCCATGGAGTCTGCACACCAGATTTGCACCCTCCCCTGAGTTCTGGTCAGGAGGCTTCTCGCACTGTTCAAGTTGTTACAAAATTCAACTGGATATTTCCTTCTCCCTGTGGTGTTTCCTCCCCCACCACCTGGCCACCCTCCTGATGGCTCTCTGTGGTGCCAGGCAGGAATGGCTTGATTGGATACTGAACGAGCTCCCAGGGCCTTTCTGATGCTTCCTCTATGCCTGTATTTTGCTTGGCTCTCTAAATTGACTCAGCTCCAGGTAAGTTCAGAAATTTTTCCCACAAGCAGACCTTCAGTTTTTCCAGTGGTGGTGTTTGTTCAGAAGAGGCAGCTCTCCCTTTCCCATTTTTGCAACTGGGACATTCACATTATTTGGGGTGTCTCCCAGATTCTGTAGGAATAGTCGGCTCCCTTCAAAGGGTCTGTGGGTCCTCTCAGGATTGCTGGTTTGTTCTTGCAGTTGATCTGCAGCTAAAATCTACAATGCGAGATTCCACATACTGCTCTGTTCATCAGAGTTGGAGCTGCAGTCTAGTCCTGCCTCCTATTTGCCATGATGATGACTTGTCTCCAATTTTGTAATCAAATTATTAATTTTTTTCCTATACAGTTGTTTGAGCTCCTTTTATATACTGGTAAGAAATCCCTTCTCAAATGAGTAGTTTACAAATATTTTCTCCCATTCTGTGGGTTGTCCTTTCACCTTATTGATTGTTTCTTTGGTTTTGCAGAAGCTTTTTAACTTAATGTAATTCCATTTGTCTATTTTAGCTTTGGTTGCTACTACTTGTGAAGTATTACTCAATAAATATTTTCCCAGTTCAAAGTCCTGGAGAGTTTCTCCAATGTTGTCTTGTGGTAGTTTCATAGTTTGAAATTACTTAAATCTTAGATTTAAGGCTTTAATCCATTTATTTATTTATTTATTTTTTGTGAGACCACTCATCTAGGCTGGAGTGCAATTGTTGTGCTCTCAATTCACTGCAACCTCCACCTCCCAGGTTCAAGTGATTCTTGTGCCTCAGCCTACTTAGTAGCTGGGATTACAGGTATGTGCCACCACACCTGGCTAATTTTTGTAATTTTAGTAGAGGTGGGTTTTCACCATGTTGGCCAGGCTGGTCTCAAACTCCTGACCTCAAGTGATCTGCGTGCCTCAGCCACCCAAAATGCTAGGATTACAGATGTAAGCCACTGTGCCCAGCCAAGTCTTTAATCCATTTTGATTGGATTTTTGTATATGGTACAAGATAAGGATCTAGTATTATTCTTCTGCATATGAATATCCATTATTTCCAGCACTATTTACTAAAGAAGTTTTCTTTTTTCCAATGTTTGTTCTTGGCAACTTTTTTGAAAATGAATTCACTGTAGGTAAGTGGATTTATTTCCGTGTTCTCTATTCTGTTCCATTAGTCTATGTGTCTTTTTTATGCCAGTACCATTCTGTTTTGCCTACTAGAGTGCTGTAGTATAATTTGAAGTCAGAGAATGTAATTCCTCCAGTCTCATTCTTTTTGCATTGGCCATTCTTGATCTTTCATTGCTCTATATAAACTTTAGGCCTGTTTCTTCTATTTCTGTGAAAATGCCATTGGGAATGTAATCGTTATTTCATTCAATCTTTACATTGCTTTGGGTAGTATGGACATTTTAACAATTTTGATTCATTCTATCCATGAACATGGAATATCTTTCCATTTTTTGATGTCCTCAAATTTTTCCATTAGTTTTTTTTATAGTTTTTATTACAGAGAATATTTCACTTCTTTCCGTAAATTCATTTGTATTTCAATTTATTTGTGGCTATTGTCAGTGATATTACTTTTAAAATTTATTTTTCAAATCATTTATTGTTGGCATATAGAAATACTACTGAGTTTTGTATGTTGATTTTCAACTTTACTGAATTTGTTTATTAGTTATAATAGTTTTTCTGGTGGAGTCTTTATGTTTTCCCAAATAGATGATTATATCATCTGCAAATCATCATAATTTGACTTCTCCCATTTCAACATGGATGCCCTTTATATCTCTATAGATTCCTCCACCTATAGAATTTTCAGTACTATACTGATAACAGTAGAGAAAGTGGGCATTGTCATAATATTCTAGATTGTATAGGAAAGGCTTTTAGTTTGTTTCCATTTTGGAGGATACTAGGCATGGGTCTATCACATATGACTTTTATTATGTTGAAGTATCTTCTTTCTATTCTGTTTTTTTTGAGGGCGTTTATTATAAAGGGATGTTGAATTTTATTGAATGCTTTCTCAGTGTCAACTGAAACATTCATATTGATTTTATCCTTTATTCTGCTGAAATGATGTATCATGTTAATTGTTTTACATATGTTGAACCATCCTTGAATCCCAGAGTTAATCCCAATTGGTCATAATGAACAATCTTTCTAATATATTGTTGAATTTTGTTTGCTACTATTTTGTTGAGAATTTTTGCACCATATTTATCAAATATATTGGACTGTAGTTTTATGTTTTTGATATGTCTTTATTTGGTGTTGTTATCAGGGTAATACTGGCCGTGTACATTTAATCTGGAGTATTCCTTTCTCCTCAATTTTTTAGAATAATTTGAGTAGAACTGGTATAAGTTCTTTAAATGTTTGGTAGAATTCAGCAGTAAAATCACAGGGTCCTAGGCATTTCTTTACTGAGAGACTATTGCAGCTTTGATCTCATTATTTGCTATTGGTCTATTTAGGTTTTAGATTTCTTTATGAGTCAACCTTCGTAGGTTGTACATGTCTAAGAATTTAACAATTTCCTTGAGATTTTCCAGTGTACTGGCAAGTAGTTGCTCATAGTAGCTGCTAATGAGCTATTGAATATCTGCAGTATCAGTTGTAATGTCTCTTTTTTAATGTCTGATTTTACTTATTTGGATTTCCTTTTTTTTTCTCAGTTTCTGTCACTGAAGTTTTATCGACTTTGTTTAATTTTTAAAATGCAAACTATTTTTATTGATGCTTTTTATTGTTCTTTCCTTTTAGTTGTATTTATTTCTGCTCTGATCTTTATTATTTCACATTATCTACTAATTTGGGTTTGGTTTGCTCTTGCTTTTTTAGCTCTTTGCTATTAAGCATTAAATTTTTTATTTGAAGTTTTTTCTCTTTTTTGATGTAGGTGCTTATAGCTATAAACTTTGCTATTAGTACTGCATTTTCTGTGTTCTGTGGGTTTTGGTAGGTTGTGTTTCCATTATCATTTGTTTCAATTTTTTTATCCATTTTTCTCTTAATTTCTAAGTGATCCACTGGTCATTCAGGTGCATATTGTTTAATTTCTATGAATTTCTATAGTTTCCAAGATTTATTATTTTTGATTTTTAGTTTTATTCCACTGAGGTCACAGGAGATGTTTTATATTTCAATTTTTTGAGTGTCTTAATAATTGTTTTGTGACCTAACGTGGTCTATCATTGAGAATAATCCATGTGCTGAGGAGAACAATATGTATTTTGCAGTTCTTGGATGAAATGTTCTGGAAATATCTGTTTGACACATTTGATCTATAATGCAGATTATGTCCAATGTTTCTTTGTTGATTTTCTGTCTGGAAGATCTGCCCAATGCTGAAAGTGGGGTGTTGAGTCTCCAGCTGTTATTGTATTAGGGCTTATCTCTCTTTAGCTCAAATAATGTTTTCTTAATATATCTGTGTCCTCAAATGTTGGGTGCATATATGCATAAAATCGTTATATTATCTTGCTGAACTTACCATTTTATCAATATATATTTACCTTCTTTTCCTCTTTTATCAGTTTTTTTTTTCTTGGAATCTATGTTGTGTGATATAAGTACAGCTACTCCTGTTCTTTTTTGGTTTCCATTGGCATGGAATATCTTTTGCCATTTCTTAATTTTTAGTGTATGTATTTCCTTAAAGGCTAAAGTATTTTTCTTATAGATGAGAGATCAGTGAGTCTAGTTTTTTCATCCATTCAATCAGGCTGTGTCTTTTAGTTGGAGAGTTTAGTCCATTTACATTTGATGCTTTACTGACAAATAAGGACATTCTCCTGTCATTTTTTAATTTGTTTTCTGGTTGTTTTTGGTCTTCTTTTCCTTCTTTGTTTCCATTCTGTTTTCCTTTAGTGAAGGTTATTTTCTCCGGTAATAAGATTTATTTTCCTGGTATTTATTTGTTGTGTTTCCCTTGTATGTTTTTCAGTTTGAGGTTACCATGAAGTTTGTAAATACCATTTTATAACCACTTTTGCATAAACAAACAAGTTAGCAAAAAGGAAATGAATAAAAATTTTGCACCTTATCCTCACCCCCCTACTTTTAATTTGTTTATTCTTTCTATTTACATCTTATCACACTATCTGTTATTGAGAAGTTATTATTTTTGACTAGTACATATTCAAGTCTTTCTACTTAGGATAAAACTAGTTTACACACCACAGCTACAGTGTTATAATATTCTGTGTTTTCCTCTGTACTTATTATCAGTGAGTTTTATACATTCCAATGATTACTTGTTGTTCACTAGCATCCTCTCCTTTCTGATTGAAGTAGTCCCTTCAGCATTTATCGTAGGACGTGTCTGGTGTTGAAATCTCTCCACTTTTGTTTGTCTGGAAAGGCCTTTATCTCTCCTTCATGTTTGAAGTATATTTTCTCTGGATATCGTACTCTAGGGTAAACATCTTTATTTATTTCTTTCATCACTTTAAATATGTCATGCCACTCTCTCCTGGCCTGTAAGTAATCCACTGAAAGGTCTTTTGCCAGACATACTGGAGTTTCATTGAATTTTATTTCTTTTTTCTTGTAGGATTCTTTCTTAATCCTTGGTCTTTGGGAATTCAATTATTAAGTACCTCAAGGTAGTCTTCTTTGGGGTAAATCTGTTTTGTGTTCTATAACCTTCTTGTACTTGGATATTGATATCATTCTCTAGGTTTGGGAAGTTCTCCATTATTAATTTTTGAATGAACTTATCTTTTTGTCTACCTTCTCTTCGAGGCCAGTAATTCTTAGATTTGCCCTTTTGAGACTATTTTCTACAACGTGTAGGCATGCTTCATTGTTTTTCTTTTCTTTTTTCTTTTGTCTCCTCTGACTGTGTATATTAAAATAACCTGTCTTTAGCTCAGTAATTCTTCTGCTTGATAAATTCCACTACTAAAGGAGTCTGATGCATTCTTCAGTGTGTCACTTGCATTTTTCAGCTCCAGAATTTCTGCTTGATTCTTTTAAATTGTCTCAATCTTTGTTAAATTTATCTGATAGGATTCTGAATCCCTTCTCTGTGTTATCTTGAATTTCTTTGAGTTCCTCAACATAGATATTTGAATTATCTTTCTGAAAGGTCACATATCTCTGTTTCTCCATGATTGGTCCCTGGTGCCTTATTCGATTCATTTGGTGAGGTTATGTTTTCCTGCATGGTGGTGATGCTAGTAGATGCTCTTAGTGTCTGGACATTGAAAAGTCAGGTATTTATTGTAGTCTTCATTGTCTGAGCTTGTTCATACTCATCCTTTTTGAGAACGTTTTCCAGTATTAAAGAAACTTGGGTGTTGTTATGTAAGCTTTATCTGCTTTATGGAACAGGCCAAGCCCAGTATGGCTACTGCCTATGTTTTCTCAAGGCCATGGGGCTCTACAATCAGCAGATGACAAAAGTAAGCAGGTCTGTATCTTTTCCTTCAGGGTGTCAAGATCCCTCAGGCCCTGGGTAGGTCCAGAAGTGCCATCAGGGGCTAGAGTCAAACACCTTAGAAGTCTATCTGGTGTTTTATTATACTGTGGCTGAGCCAGCACTCAAATCACAAGATGTAGTCCTTTCCACTTTTCCTTTCTTTCAAAAGATAGAGGAGCCTCACCCTGTAGCCATGACCACCACAGGCCTTGTGGTGTACTACCCGACCACCACCAATGTTTCTTTAAGGCACAGGGTCACTTCAGTCAGCTTGCAGTAAATCCTGCCTGGTGTGGGACTCACCCCTCAGGACTGGGGGCTCCCCTCTGGCCCAGAGAAGGTCCATAAATGCTATTCATATGGCAAGTCTTGGAAACAGGAACCCCATGAGCCTGCCTGGTGCTCCACCTTCCTGTGTCTGAGCTGGTACCTAAAGTACAATAAAATGTCCTCTTAACTTTTCCTTCTGCTTTTCTCAAGCAAAAAGAGTCTCACCCCATAGCCATCACAGCTGGGAATATTGAGTCTCACCTGAAACCAGCAAGTCTCAGAGGCTCGTCCAAGGCTCTCTGTGTAGTAGTACCTTTTGGGTATCACTACTTGTTATTCAGAGCTAAAGGGCTCTTCAGGTAATGGGTAATGAATGTTGCCAGTACTGGGTACTTTCCTTCAAGTAGCAGTTTCCCTTCTGGCCCAATGTGTGTCCAGTAATGTCACCCCAGAGGTAGGGCTTGAAATAGGGGCCTCACAACTCTGACTATTGCGCTATGCTGCTGTGGCTAAGCTGGTATCCAAGATTCAAGACGAAGTCCTCCCCACTCTTCCCTCTCATCTCTTCAAGTGGAAGGAAGGGGGTTCTTTGGGAGCTGCAAGCCATGCAGCCTGGGGTTAGGTCGTATGCTTCCCAGTCCACTGTCTCTGGGCCCAGTTCTCCACTAGGACTCACCTAAGAATTATAGTCCTTGTGGCCTATGCTGCCTATCAAGTTTACTTAGAGACTTAGAGCACTTTAGCCCTTAGTGGCTAGGTTTCCAAAAACTCAAATTCTGACTGCTAGGATTGGCAATTACCTTCTGGCTACAGCTGGTTTAAATGCTCCCTCTGTGTGCAGGCATTAGTTGAGTTTGATCCATTTTCTTTTTCTGCTCTAACAGGACTGCACTGAGTTTAATGACTCACAGTTGCTGTGCTCTCCCTCCCTCACTGCCCAGAGCTGCACTCCACAGCAACTGCTGCTGGTGGGTGAGAGAGGGTTGGCATCTGTGAGTGATCCAAGACTGTTTTTTCTACCTCTTCATTGCCTCTTTCAGCAATGTGAGGATAAAACCGGGTATTATGAGGGCTTACCTGATTTTTTTTCTTATGAAGGTTTTTTGTTTTGTTTTGTTTTGTTTTGTGTATGTGTGTGTGTGTGTGTTTAGATATTTGTGAAATTGGTGTCCTTGTGGGGATGGGTGGCAATCAATGGAGGCTTCTATTTTGTCTTTTGCTCCACCTCCTAGTAGACATCTTTCTTTTTACTATGGGTTTCATTTTACTTTGTATTTCATGTGGTTTGCCCCAGTGTCCCCACCCGCATCTCATGTTGAATTGTGATTCTGAGTGTTGGAGGCGGGGCCTTGTGGGAGGTGATTGGATCCTGGAGGTGGTTTCTAATGGTTTGTCACCATCCCCCTAGTGCTATCTCTGGATAGAGTTCTTATGAGATCTGGTTGTTTATTAGGTTGGTGCAAAAGTAACTGCAATTTTGCCATCGAGAGTAATACAAAAACCACAATTACCTTTGCACCAACCTAATAAAAGTGTGTAGCACTTCCTCCTTAGATCTCTCTCTCCTGCTGGTATGTGAATATGTGCTTGTTTCTCCTTCACCCTTCTGCCCTGAGTGTAATTTTACCAAGGCTTCCACAACCATGCCTCCTGTACAGCCTGTGGAACTGTGAGTCAATTAAACCTTTTATCTGTAGAAATTACTCAGTCTCAGGTAGTTCTTTATAGCAGTGTAAGACTGGACTAATACACTATTAAAGCATACAAGTTTATAACTTCAGTGTATGTCAATGTATTACTTTGTATTTTATTGTTAGTGATTTGTGAGTCATGTTTAAGAACTTTTGCTTAAATCAAAGTCATTAGGATGTCTTCTTAATCTTTATTTTAAAAATATTATATTTAGGTGAAATCCATCTGAAACTAAATGATGTAAGTTTTGCCAGATAAGACAAGTCACATTTTTGTTTATACAGATATATAATTGTTCAAACACTAGTTATTAAAAAAAATTCTAAAAAGTTTTCTGATGTGCTGATTTTGGAGAAATGCTTCTAAACTCTTTTGATTTATTTGTCATTTTCCTATTCTATGTAAGTACCACAATGTCTTAATTAGGATACTTTTATATCAGTTTCAGTACTCTGACAGGCTGTTAAAAGTCTTTTATTTCTCATGATTATCATGGTTTTCTTTTTTTGCTTGTTGTATTTATATAGAATCGGTATGCCATGTTCTTTCAAAAAAAAGCAAGATGGAATCATTATTATGTTGAATCTATTTTTTGGTTATACTAAATTTTTATTTTTACATGTTGTTGGATTATATTTGCTTAATTGTTCATAAATTTTTAACTATGTTTATGACAAAGATTGTTTCATAATTTCTTTTGTTATTAGTATCTTTGTGAAATAGAAAAATTAAATTGATTCTGGCCTCATAAAAAAGTTTACAAAATGTTACTTATTACAATATTTTCTGGAACACTATATAAGATTGGTGTTATTTCTTCTTTAAATACTTGGAAGAATTAAACAATAAAGCTATTTGTATTTCTGAATGTATGTAAATGCATATAGGTTATTAAAACATTACATTTATTTAATAGAAAATAGATTAAAATATTATATTTCTTTTGGTTTCTTTTGGTTTCAATCAGTTATTTTGAAGTGCCTATACATTTAATCCATTTTGTCAAATATTAAAATTTATTGTTTGTTTGTAGTATGTCCTCATTATAATTGTTGATTTTTTTGTAATATGTCCTCATTATAGTTGTTGATATTTTCTATTCTAAATTATTTTTACATTTCTTTATATGTTGTTCATGACTTTATTATTTTCTCCTCTACATTTCTTAAGTTTAATTTAATGTTACGGATTTTCTGATTTAATGAGTTAGGTTAATCATTGAGTTTCAGCATTTCTTTCTAATACATTTTTCTACACTACAGTTTTAGCTGCAAACCATAATCTTTTATATATTCTACTTTATTATCATTGATGTCATAATATTTTCAAATTTTCATTGATGTCTTCCTTGACATTTAAATGTATATTGCTTAACTTCCTGGTATTTTTTGTTTCTCTAGTTTCAATTTCATATTTTAATCACAATTTCACCCTTTGTTGTTAGAAGATACAAAAGCTTAAAATCTTAAGACATTTGTTTAGGCTTTTTTTATAAAATAATACACACTTGCTTTTTGTGAATATTTTATACAAATTTTTTTAAATTGGAAATTTCATCAAACTAGTGGAATTGTTGTCATTTATTATAATTTCATTACCAGAACTGTTATTTCAAATTATTATTGATGTGTGGTGTGGTTACTATAATAGATATTAAATAGGTTTTTGTTGTTGTTAAATCTACATCTATATTAGTGAATTTCTTTATGCTTTTATTCTGTCAGTTTTTTTTTTCTTTATGAAGCTATACTGTTAGGTAAACACGGATTTAGAATTTTGGCAGTTTCCTTTAGATTTAAACTTTTATTAATTATTTTAAAATATCTTGCTTTACATCTTGCAGTGCTTCTTGCTTTAATTTCTTTGTCTGGTATTACTATAGTTACTCCAGCTTTCTCATAGTTAATATTTGCATAACATTTTGTATATGCTTTTACCTTCAACATTATTCCTAACATATTTAAAATGCATATCATGTAAGCAGCATACAAGTAAGCTTGCATTTTTAACCATTTAACAGTTTTATATTTTACTTGGATTTACATAGTCCATTTATATTCAACATAATTACTTAACAAGTTTTTCTGCCTTATTACCATTGATTTCCTAATTTGACCATCTGCTTCTTTTTCTTTTTCCTTTTATTTTTTTTTCAGTTTTATCCATGCTTTGTCATTTTATTTTTCTTTCTGTTTAAATGCTATTTATATACTCTCTTATATCTTTTTTACTATGCCTTTATTTAATATAATAGAAATAAATATGTTTACATTTTACCAATATGACAGGAAAATTATATCTTTTAAACTCCATTTGCTCAACTCTTATCTTCTTCGTTGGTGGTCTCTAAATTTTCATTTCTATGTATAACTTAAAAAATTACAATTATTGTTGTGCATAGTCAATATTTATTTATATTTATCCATACATTTGTCTTTTTTGATGTTCTTCATTCTCTCCTGCATTCCCATGTTTCTGTGTTCTTTTATTTTAATTCAAATATGTTAAACACATTTACTGAGTTAACTTTTAAATAATTTATTATTCACTTTTACAGTGTTATTTGATCTGTTTAAATAGATTACAATTCTCTGTTGGGACCCTCTATCCTTTCATCTATTTTGCCTATTTTTCTTCTTCTCAATCTTAAAGCCAAGCACTTTTCTGATTTCTATGCATATAGGCTTATTTTCCCTGTTATTGATATTCATAGAAATAAAACATATAGTAGGTACTCTTCAAAATGTGTTTTTTAACACAACAAAATATTGAGATACATACATGTAATCAACTAGGTATTTTATCCTTTTGATAACTAAATAGTATCCAATGGCTGTATATACTATAATTTATTTTTCTGTTATCCTTTTGATGAATATTTTGATTTTTTTATTTTTGTCATTCAGAATAACATTTCAATTAACATTCTTTCATTAACATTATTTAATTCTGAAACGGATAAGTTTTTTTATTAAATATATTTTTATATTTTTCTTGGGAACACTTCTGGGAATTGTTGGGTGATAAGTTAATTGTATGTTTTATTTTATTATGACACCAGCAGTACATGAGAGTACTAATTGCTTTGCCCTTCCTCCTACATGTTGTGTTGTTGGTCTTTTATTTTAGCAATTCTAGTGACTGCATAATGATATGATTTTGAATTTTAATTTATCTGGATAATTAAATATGCTGAGCATCTTTTCATAGCTTTATTTTGAAATAAGTTATTTGCACATTTGAAAAATCTGTGTAATTATCAGTTGATAAGCATAGTATTTTAAAATATCTATTATCAGGAGCTTTAAGACAGCTGACTGTAAGCACCTTCCTGACTAAGAACCAAAATAGTGAGTAGAGGATCACATTTTAATAGATCACCCAAGAGACAATACAGGAATTCAACAACAAAACAAGTGACTAGAAATAACTAAAACAAATAAGGAGAGGGAAGCAAGGCAGCCTGTTTGGCTGGGATTGCCTGGGAGCCGAAAGAGACTCCTCAATATAGGACAAGGGTAAGTGAGAGACCCTCAGCTGCCCACACTCACACCATGGACTCTTACAATCCTAGGTATGGGAGAGCCCCTTGACATTCACAGGCCATGAAACTAACTAGGGAGCATCTAGAGATTGTGTGACAGCACTGCTTCAGAGAGGAAGCTCACACTTGGTCCCACACACTCCCTGAGACCTAGGAAGTTAATGAGGTGCCATTTTAGAGCCCTGCCTTGAACAGGCTGCAGACCGTTTTGAGGCCCAGTGCTCCCAGGTCTGAAGTAGAAGAGAAGTACAGGCTGATGCTCCTATAGCTGAGGCACAAGTGAGGCATGAGCTGACACTGCCAGAGCTGAGACACAACCAAAGCATCAGCTACCACTGCTGGGGCTGAGGCATA